>NC_000013.11:81770600-81923440 GCF_000001405.40 Homo sapiens | reverse complement strand
ATTAGTTAAAAATCAGTTTTAGTATTAATTTTACTGTCTGATTATGAAATGCTACCCACATGCTTTGCTATTTAGTACTCCCAAATCATCTATGAATCATTGCTGTTTTTATATGCTAAGGAAATTGGGATAAATAAAATGCTCCATTTGTTCAAGATAAGTGGCAGAGATGAAATCAGACTCAAGTTCTGCAGGTGTTAGTGTGCAGTGCAGTAAGTTCAAGGACTCTGTGTCTAAATTTCTTCAAGGACTGAACACTACATTACCATCACATAGATAAACTTTTATTCTATTCTCTCCCATATTTCCTCTGCATGTTGCTGTGGGCTTTCTTTTTTTTCAGATAAAATTTTACCTTTCTATTTCCTGAATCTACTTACTATATACAATTCCCATTACATGGGTTTATACATTTTATGTGCTCTCACTGAATATTCATTTTATATCTTATTTTGAAATCTGAATTTTTATTGAGACAGACATTTCCAATGATTCTTATGTCTTTGAGCCATATGGTTTTAGAAACCGATTAGAGGGGTTCTAAAACCTTCTAGTCTGTCACATGTTATAACTAAAATTTATATAACTTATTTCAAAGATTTGATCTGCTCACAGCTTTCATTGCTATTCTAATTTGAAAATTACCTTGAAAGATTTAGAAATGAGTACAGTAGTTGACCCCTTAGTTTTTGGTTTGATCATTATCCTTAAACTTGCCACTGTCTTTTGTAGCTGGAATGATTTAAAAGAAGTTAACTTATAGGCTTTTGGCTAGATATCATGCAATCAGGAAATGAACATTCCTGAATATTATTCTATAATTGATATTTAGAGCAGAATATAAACTGTTAAAGCAAAATCCTTCTTTCATTGTTATATCTTCAAACTTAAGAGATGCATCCTTGGTCCATCTTCCCCTCAGTACTATAACAACTTTCCACTTTAGAAGATATATATTATCTGGAAGAATGATAGTTCCTTAAGGGTGTCTTAAAATATTATTCACTATAAACATTCTCTAGTTGTTAGCTACTGCTGTATAACAAACTATTCTCAAACTTATAAAGTAAAAACAGTGAGCTTTTACATTTTCTCCCAAATCTACCAATAGCCAAATGGGTGTGCTGATCCTGACTCTGCCCGTTTGTGAATATGCAACTAACTATTTGGTAAGGTGAGTGAGCCTAATGGCCTTAACTCCAATGACATTGCTTTGTTCTCCATGGTCTCTCATATGTCAGTAGGTTTGCCTAGGCTTTTTATCATGATGTTGACAGGGGCCCAAGGAAGTAAGCAGAGACATAACACAAATTTTCAAGCTTCTGCTTACATCCAATATGCTACTGTCTACTTACTGGAAAAAGAATCAGAAGGCTAAATCTGTAGTTAGTATGGCAAGGCACCATAAGAAAGATGTGTATATAGGGATGCATGAAAAATAGTGGCCAAGCTTTATATCAAAATCCTCCACTGGACATGTTTCTTGAATTCCTATTGCTAATGAATTAAGTTCTGACTGCTGGATTTGGATGATGAGATCTCTTACATTGGCTATTTTATCAGATTTAAATTAATTTCATTGTATCTACAGCACTAGAATTTGGTTACTAAAGATCATACGAAATCATGTAAATATTGTAAATCCAAGAATGTACTAAGTTGCTCCAACATTTTCTGTTAAACCAGCGAGAGGTAACTAAACCAATTTTGAGGTAAAGACAAAAGCAGGAAGGGTTTGACAGCAGGAAGATTCTGTAATTTACTTTTGTGTATGTAGCATCAACTGACATCCCAAATAAGCAGGGGAAAAAATTGAGAGCTAAGATGACCATAATTTTTTTTAATTAAAATAAACAAGAAGTCTAGGGAAAATTACATTTTCTTCATCATACCTTGGAATGAAAAGCAGAGTAAATTCTCTGGTTAAAATGACCAACTAGCCTGCATAAAGAGTAGAATGATGTGACATCCCAGCTTTAAGGGAAGCAAATGGCAGCCTTTCTTGTTTGTACATGTATGAAAGTGCTAAGTATTAGAAATGACTATTGATGGTAATTTTTGATGAATGTTATTGGCTATGACTATCTTCTTGTCAATGTAGAACTCTTCCCTTTTATATCATTTTTGAACCTCTAACCATATTGTGATAATCAGCTATATATGTTATTATTCGGCATTGTTCCCAAGTAAGAATCATTACCTGATTTTTCACCCAGAAGTCAGAGATCCTAAATGCCAACGAAGATTAAAATAAATTATCAGATAAAAGTAATAAAGGTTGACATATGGTATCTCTAATAATCTTAATTAAATGAAGGGCGAAAATAATCAATTATTGCTTAATTTTGAAGTATTTTTAACAGCAGTAGAATAAGGATCTCAGAATAAATCAACAATTCTGATTTTATCCAAATTCAGAATTATGTAAAATCTTGGCTCTTGGTTCCTTAATCTTTTCATCTTTATGTTTCTTAAACTTAAAAATTTATGAGTGGCCCTAACCTATAATAATAGACTAGACCTTATTAGAAGAAGAAAATAATCTATTTCTGAAATATTAAAGTTAGTCATTCAATAAAGCTTTATTTTGTTCCAAAATGTATGCTAAGTACTTCTACTATGTCTATTAATTGAACTTATCAAGAAATCCAATGGTGTTCTAGAACTCTGTTGTATTCCTATATTTCTTTCCCACTTGTCTTTATTTCCCTCCTTCACCCCTTTGTTGTGGTTCAAGTTATCACTCCTAAAACTCTTTGGAAAGGTTTTCAACAACTCCTATTACTATCTCTCATTTACACACTTAGTAAAATCCTAATGCAACTCAGTTCTCCCATTTTTTTCCCCCAAGCATAAACCCAGGCTGCTTTTCACTACTGTAGAAAATCATAAAGCCGTGATGAATTTCTCTAAAACTACTTGGCTCCCAAACTCAGTTAAATACACAGTGCGGCCTAGGTATCCTTATTCTACTAGACAGTCCAGGAGACCCACTGCTTATTTCAAAAGTTTTAATTTCTAGTTCTTTGTGTCTTTGTGTAAGTAAAATTTCCTGAATCTTATATTCCATATCTGTGAAACAGAGGTAATAACAGTGGTCTTAATGTTAATTATAAAGAGATATTTGCAAGAATGTATACACAGTAGCAGTTTTCTGTTTGTTTTTGTTTTAGGGATAGCTGAATCTATATGCAACAGAAAAAGTGAAAATATTGGAGATGAAGATGAGATTCTATGGGGTTAGAATTAATATACTTGAGTTATATAAGCAGAGCTGTCCATCTTCTAATTAAGAAGAAAATGGGTAGCATGAGCAGTGAAGATATAAGCGAGAAGATGAACTTTGAAGAATTACAAGTGGCAGCTAGTCAGACATGAACAGAGCAGGAGAGGGCTCCCTCGACCCAATAAGTAATGTCAGGCTACCATCAGGTGATGGTCAGGCAGTCGTTACACTGTTTCTCTAAAATAATAATTGGTCCTGCCACCGGCACCGGGAAAGGCAGTCTCCCAATAGAAAAAACCTGAAACTGGTGATCAGCAGCTTCCCGATAAGATCCCAGGAATTGGGTGAGTGGGCTCGAGCATGCACACTAAGAGGCAAAAATATCAGGGTTTAACTGGTTTATGGCCTTCCTCCAGGAACTCTCAACTGGTAAGGGAGGAACCCCTCAAGTGAGTGTGTGCACAACTTCAGTAAACGCACTGCGCATGCACCCCCGCTCTCCCCGCAAGAGCTGGCAGGCCACTGCACATATGGATAGCCAGCTCCAAGGGAAGAATCAGGAGAAAAGTAACACAAAACCCCAAAAACATGCCAACATATCAAATCCCAGGTTAAAAGGTCAAACCATGCCTTGATCTTTAAAGTCACCTATTTGTCCCTCTTCCAAGTGTACTTTACTTTCGTTCTTGCTCTAAAACTTTCTTAAAGCTTTCCCTCCAGCTCTAAAACTTGCTTCAATCTCTTACTGTGCTTTATGCCCCGTGGTCAAATTCTTTCTTCTGAGAGGGCAGGAACTGAGGTTGCTGCAGACCTGTACAGATTTGCTGCCTGTAACAGAAACAGGGAGGAGCTAAGCAACATAGAGAAAGTTGGAAAGTACTTTTGTGATTGGGCTGGTTGAGAATATTAACGGCAGTAATATCAACTTTTAATTGTAAATGTTGTGTGTATTTGTGGTATCATAGAGAGATTTTTAAAAAGTGTAAATAAAAAATGTGGGAACTTAACATTAGATAGTTCTATATTCCTAAATTTGCAACTTAACAGCATCATGACCTTGGAACCATATTACTTAAACTCTTTGAAGCAAAAGAGAAAATGGAAGTGAATATGCATTAAGTACATTTAAGGGCTATAAAGACTTTAGTTAATTTGATCTAATGACTGAACATCAACTAAAATAGAGCCAAGGAGAGTTACAAAAATCTATTAATTAAAGTTTAATTTATAGCTCTGTTAAGAGGCACACGTGCTGTGTGTTAATTTACGTAAAACTTATGTTTGATTACATAAGTCATTGAGAGAAAATAATGAATTTTCATCCTTCATGTTTACAGTTAATAAAACTGAAATAAAGGAATAACCCAGAGCAAATCAAGTATATTTAATTTGCTCATTAATACTTTTAAGAGGTAAAAATGTTGACAAAAAGCATTAAACAGTAAAATATTTAAAGAGGCTTATTCTGGGCCAAATATGAGTGACCAATACCTGTGACACAGCCCCAGAGGTCCTGAGACATTTGCCCACTGTGATTGGGTTATACCTTGATTTTATACATTTTAGGGGGACAGAAGTTAAAAGCAGACATCAATAGATACATGTAAGGTGTACATTGGTTCAATCCAGAAATGCACGACAACTCAAAGTGGGGGCTTCAGGTCACAGGTGGATTCAAAGATTTTTTTTGATTGGCAATTTGTTGGAAGAGTTATGTTATTAGCCAAAGGCCTGGAATCAATAGAAAATAGTGCCTGGGTTAAGATAAGGAATTGTGGAGGCCAGGGTTCTTATTATGCAGAAAAAGCCTCTTAGGTAGCAGACTACAGAGAGAATAGATGGTTAACATCTCCAATCATAACTAAAAAGATGCCATAGTTAATTTCTCCTGGATCAGGAAAAGACCTAGAAAGAGAAGAGGATTTCTACAGAGTGTAGACTTTGCTCACAAGAGACAGTTTTGGGCCTTTTCAAAATACATCAAATATATTTTGGGGTAAAATATTTCAATTTCCTTCAGTGCCTCCTATTTGACATGCATTTCTATACTTGAGTCAGGTTGGAATTTGGTACCTCATGGTTTAAAAGAGTCTGCTTTATTACTCTTAAGATCTCTGTTTTAATGTGAATGCTGGTCAGTTGTGCCTGAATTCCAAAGAGAGAAGTGAGGTGTGTCGGACCCTCCTTCCCATCATGGCCAGAACTAGTTTTTCAGGTTTGCTTTGGAATGCCCTTGGCCAAGATGAGGGATACATTCAGTCTGTTGGGGAGCATAGAATTTTAATTTTGGTTTACAAAAAATATTTTAAAAAATAAAATGGCACATACGTAAATGAGTAACTAAGTAATGAATTCATTAGTTTCTTTCATGAAGGTTTATTATTCTGTGTTTTTGCTGCCTGACCGACAGAAATGCAGCAGAACTGCTGTGAAAGTAAAGTGACAGTATTAATGATTTCATTTGATTTCACTCTTTGCTTTAAGAGATTTACACATATACAACCTAGGTTAAAAATCATAAAACATTTTCTTAATTTACTTCAGTAATAATACCTTTTTATAATTCCTAACAACAGATAGATCACCTTGAAAATATAATCTTGCTACTAGTAATCTTAACGAAGAATTTGAAAAACTGTTCAAAAGACCAATTCAGGGTCACACACATTTAATAGGGGAAATGTTTAAGTAACTGGTTCTAAGCTAAGTAGTGAACATTTGACATTGATATGTTGTGATTCCAAGTGATTTCTCAAAATCAAAAGAGTAAATAAAACATTTGTACATCAAGTTAAATTTTCTAAATCAGTTCTTCAGAAATATTTACCAGTCCTGCCCAATGCAGCTACCTTTATACTTAATATAAACAGCATATGTTTAAATGACGACCACTTGGCCATCCTGAAAAAAACGGGCCTTGCAAAGCTGTCTTAAGTGAGAAAAATTTGCCTCTGTAGAAATCTTCATTAATGCAGCCATGCCCCCTCCCTTTCTACCCCTTTCCCCAGGTCCAGAAGAGATTAAGAATCTGACACCTTTAAAATTCTGAAAATAGAATTTGCTATCTATTCTCCCTGAAGGAGGCTTCATCTAAATAACAAGGCCACCCTTCCAAGCCAGGCCTCTTCTCCTTCTCTCATATCCCATTTTACCAGAATCTAAGCCTCCATTTTTTCTGTAACCTTAAAATGGTGTATAAGTTTCTGTAACTCATTGGGAAGTTGGGTCATCATTCTCAAGACTCCTGTGTATGAACAATAAGTAATTTGTTTTTTCTAGCCATAAATAAATAATAGTATATTTCCAAAGTTGCCTCTTTTTCTCTTTGTGTCTTTCTTCCCCGCTCTCTCTCCAATTATACCATTACTTATTTTTTGTTAATCTTTGTTTTTGATTTATTTAAGCTGTCTGATATATTGGCCAATCATGAATCAATTTTGGTGGAGGTAGAAAAGTAAAATGGCTGAATATGCTGTTAAAAGAAAACTCCAGCCAAATTAAATTTAAAAGAATTTGATTGAGCAAAGAATGATTCAAGAATTGGGCAGCCTCCCAAGCCAGAGTAGGCTTAGATAGTCCAGTGCAGCCATGTGGTAGAAGAAAATTTATGAATAGAAAAAGGAAAGTGACATACAGAAAACAGAAGTGAGGTACAGAAACAGTTGGACTGGTTACAGCTTGGCATTTTCCTTATTTGAACACAGTTTCAGCACCCACCTTTGGTTGGCCAAATCTCAGTAAACAGTTTGTTTACAATTACATTTAGGTTAAATTCATAATGTACAGAGAAAACTTTAGGCTGAACTTAAAATACATAAGGAGGTAGATTTAGGCTAAACCTGATTTAACAGTGCCTACATTTTCTCTGGCATATTTTAATACCATGTTCTTATTTGAAGCATATTAATGACTCATCCTTATTTATCTTATTTATGCTTAATAGACATTTTATGTACTCATTATATATTTACAATTATCAGTTATTCTAAAGTGAGTCCACATGGCATCATCTTAAAGGGGGCATATATTATTTTTCTTATTGGCCTTCTTTGGTCATGCACTCATGTGTGCTTTAAATCTACTTTAATGTAATGAGAGGAACCCTCAGGAGGCATTTCATCCACTTTGGTCTGAGCCCCTTTATTTCAACAGTGAGGATAATTTCATAATTATAAATTGGGGTTATAATTGTCAAGATCTTTTTTGAAGGATCTTCACTGTTAGAAATAAGGGCACTTGGCAACTTAAAAATGTTATTCTATGAAATTACAATTTCCCAAGTTCTGACAAGGCATCATGACAATTAATTACTCAAAACCTCATGATTGCATGACCGCTTGATTGAATGATCAATTTTTCTGATAGTTCCATTTTACCAGCCTCATCTTCCTTTTGGGCAAATCTTGTCAAAAGTTAACGATCACCTTTAAGACAAAAGCATTGCAGCTTTTTTGGCCATGATCACTAAAAAGTACTTGAAAACTGTAACTCAACGTTTTTTTGTTTTTTTTTTTTTGAGACAGAGTCTTGTCACCCAGACTGGGGTGCAGTGGTTCCATCTTGGGTCATTGAAACCTCAGCCTCCTGGGTTCAAACGATTCTCCTGCCTCAGCCTCCTTTGTAGCTAGGATTACAGGCACCCACCACCATGCCCAGCTAATTTTTGTACAGGGTTTCACCATGTTGGCCAGACTGGTCTCAAATTCCTGACCTCAGGTGACCCACCCACCTCGGCCTCCCAAAGTGCTGAGATTACAGGCATGAGCCACCGTGCCAGGCCTGTAACTAAACTTTTTGTCACTCCAAAATAATACATTTACTATTTACTTCGGCCAAGAGTAAATATCATCCTCTACTCCATTGAAGTCAGCATTTCAAAATATTCTGAAATTTTACTTCTTTCTTATTCATTTTACATTGTAATATGTTTTCTATTTTATTTCATTCTTCAACAATTCTAGTGAATTTTTGTTTGCTTTTTGGTCAGCTAATAACAACCAGCAAAATATGCAAATTTCACAAAGTAGTCTTTGTATTATATGTATTAAAAGTATCAAGAATATGTATAACAATTCAAATTGGTTGAGCAATAGAAATTTAAAATGTTCAACTAAATGAATTAATATGCATTTTCTGTTCTCGGGATAATCTAGTGGACAATAAAATAAACAGAGGCCATTAGCCTTTGCTTAGGCCTTTTAGCTTCTATATAATTTAAAGCATTCTATTAAATTTTTGTTCATTAATGTTGAAATATCTTCCGATAGGCAATAACATTCAGCAGCTCTATATTTTAAAATAATTAATTGCATCATTCCTAAGTGCGGAGAGATTTATAAGAGGAGTGTTTTCATGATGACATATATGACATTTAGTTTATTTTCAATATCTTGTAAGGACAATGAAACCCAAGGACTTACGATTCTGTCTTATAAATTACCAAAATATGTTACATTACAACTCTTTTCACATGTGTGTAAATTGGTGAACGCAGGCTTACTGAGAAGATGTCAGGTTAGAAAACTCCTCCCACCATCAAAACCATTTTTATCAATTTGCACTACAGATTCTCTTTGACTTATGATGGGGTTCTGTCCCACTAAACACATCATAAGTTGAAAATATTGTAAATCAACAATAGATTTAATATGCTAACCTATTAAACATCATAACTTAGCCTAGCCTACCTTTAAGGTGCTCAGAACACTTACAATGGCTTGCTCTTGAGCAAAATCATCCAACAGAAAGCCTATTTTATAATAAAGTGTTAAATATCTCATGTACTTTATTGAATGCTGCTGAAAGTGAAAAACAGAACAATTATATTGGTACTCAAAGTACAGTTTCTATTGAATGCATATTGCTTTTGCACCATCATAAAGTTGAAATATCTTAAGTTGAATTATTGTAAGTCAGGGATTGTCTGTATTTATAAAAGCATATAAAATTGGTTATATCTTCACAACATTCTCCATACTAGTACTATGAATTATTTTAATTTAATAATGTTAGTTAAAATTAGTATGTGTAAACTTAATGTGCAATTACTAAATCAATAAATTGATAAACTTTTTATATATAGTGGCTTCCATAAGTTGGAAATTTATAAACTTTGGTCATTTTACTTCTCATTTTTCTTTCTGACTCATTTATAAAAACTGTCAAAAATGAAAGTTTTATTATAACGTGTAGCAGCTAAACCATGACAAGTTGTGAACTATTCTGTCCTAAGGCTATATGCTATCTTTAAAAAATTCTACTGTTGGTAAGTATTCATGGATTTCAATGCAGAAATATAAATGTTTTATATTACACATGGCTGTAATCATTGCTGGGGATTTTATATATAACTTTTCTAAAGCTCACCCTCAAAACTTATTTTGAATTCCAAAACATATGGTCACTGCATGATAATGTAACCTATCATTACTCATAGGTAAACATATAGCCATTAATATCATCATCCCCATTTTACGATAAGAAAATTAATGGTAAGATGTAAGCTAATGTTATTAATCAGAATTTAGATACATATTGCAGTGTAGATCTAGAAGTCATTGTTACTTGAATTTGTTGTTGAGTCTGTAATTCATGAAAAAGAATCAGGCACACTTAAGAAATGGATTTGTTTGCTCATAATGCATAAAGTAATAGATTATTAAAAAATAAGTTATATCCTGCACTTAAAAAATCTATAACCAACTTGAGCCACAAAATATAAAGTATAAATGAAAATATAAAATATAAATGAAAATTAGTATTTAAATAACAATTTGCAGTAGTGAAAGAATAAAAATAGAGAAGCAGTGTATGGTCAAACTATATTCACATTGCAAAGTGGATTGAAGTTATGTCTTCTTTTTTTTTTTCATTTGACAAATATTTATTTAGTGCCTGTTATTTTGGGGGTACCTTTCTTGGCACTAGGACTTGGAAGTGACCTGCAAAGAAAAATTCACTACTTTTTTAATTTTTAGGAGAAAGAGAGATGAACAATGAACAAATAAATATGCATGCAAACCATGATTGGTGTTATGAAGAAAGATAAAGTAGGGTAAGAGGATACAGATGATAAGGCTTCTAATTTTATATAGAGTTAGAAAAGTGACCCTTCTTCTGAGATTGCATTAAAGCAAAGGCATGAAGAAAGTTGAGAAATAACTGTTAAGGTATTTAGTAGAAGAGTATTTCAGAGAGCTGTACTATGGTGCTTAAGTATAGGAATTCTAGGCCAGGCAGCCTGTAATCAAATCTTGGTTCTTTCATTAAGAATGAATTTTAGAGTTAATATGCTTCTTTTCATCTCTCAAAATTATTCACTATGCTCAAACATGTAATATCTATTTTTTGAATATGGTGATTCATATTTTCAAGCATAGAATAGTGCCCTGCTTTGCTCAAGCAACTTTTTTTTACCTTTTATAGATATGCACTTTCTTGCAAGACCATTTTGATCATTCCAGCTTGCCAAACTATTTTATCAAATAATAATACAAGTCTTTATAATTAAGACTCTTGCTATCTTGGCAAGGGTTTTAATGTTCTCTGTCTCAGTTTCTCCAAATGGGCAGTATACCTTATGAGTTGATTTGCAGTTTACATTAAAAATTTTAAAGCTCAGTGCCTGTCACCTACTAAATACTCAGCAATTTCAGCAGTTATTACTGACAGAGAAAACAACAAAAGCAAACACTCCAAGGAATGTGTGTACTAATCCAGGAACATTAAGGAATCTAGCACCATAAAACAGGGATGGGGGAAGAGGTGGGTAAAAAGGATGAGAGAGAAAGAGGGAGAGAAAGTGAGAGAGAGACACCAGTAGGGATAGAATCAGACACATTACAGAGGCAGAGATCATTTAGAGTTTTGCAGGCCAAGGTAAAGATTTGGATTTAGCTTTGAATAATAAGAGAAAACATTGGGAAGTCTTTTGTTTTTTTTTAGACAGTCTCACTCTGTTGCCAGGCTGGAGTGCAGTGGCGCGATCTAGGCTCACTGCAACTTCCGCCTCCCAGGTTCAAGTGATTCTCTTGCCTCAGCCTCCGAGTAGCTGGGACTACAGGCGTGGACCACGCCCAGCTAATTTTTGTATTTTTAGTAGAGACAGGGTTTCACCATGTTGGCCAGGATGGTCTCGATCTCTTGACCACATGATCCACCCGCCACGACCTCCTAAAGTGCTGGGATTACAGGCATGAGCCACCGCGCCCGGCCAACATTGGAAAGTTTTAAGCAAAAATGTGACATGATCATTTCTGCCTTATGCATATGTGAATGGTTTTCACTGAGTTTTTCATCGTTGGAGTGTAATATAGGTTCAGTATATTTAAAACCTGTCATAAAATCTATAAACATTCAGCTTTCTTATCTCTGATAAGAGCACAGCTTTCTAAAGTGCTGTGTGATAGGCCCATTTAAATGACAAAATGACAGAAGACATATAATAAGCCAAAGGACCCCTATGATTGCTCCCATGTTCATGAATCCCTGCTTTGGTTATTGGTTTCTAAGGCCACTACAAACGTTAGTGACTTAAAACACTAATGCATTATTATCCGACTTACTTGGGCAGTTCTGCTGTTTTTGCCTAGGGTCTTTCATGTAGTTGTAATTAGATGGCCACTGGGACTGGGATGTCCAGGATGATTCCACTCATTTGCCTGGCTCTGAGGAATGAAGGGCTGGAAGGTTTGGATCATCTGGGAAGCTGTGAAGTCTGCATCTCTTTGTATGGACTCAGGACCTCTTCCTCTTCGCTTGGCTTCTCCACACAGTCTATCCATTTGTATGTGCAATAAAGAAGCTGAACTTCATATTTGGCAGCTCAGGGCTCCCAAAAGTGCAAAAGCAGCTTCTGCCAAACCTTCTTAAGACTTAGTCCTAAAGTTGGCACTCTTAGGTCTGCCATTCTATGACTTAAAGTGAGCCTCAGGCTCAGATCTATTGCAATGTAGGGAGAGATCACAAAAGGATGTGAAAAGTGGGCGATGTTTGTTAAGGCTCATCTTGGAACAAGAGCTTCTACAGTCACCATACACCTCAGGTTCTCTTTTTTTTTTTTTTTTTTTTTTTGAGACGGTCACCATACACCTCAGGTTCTCTTGTTTTTTGAGACGGTGTCTCGCTCTGTCGCCCAGGCTGGAGTGCAGTGGCGCGATCTTGGCTCACTGCAAGCTCCACCTCCCAGATTCACGCCATTCTCCTCCTGCCTCAGCCTCCCGAGTAGCTGGGACTACAGGCGCCCACCACCAGGCACGGCTAATTATTTTTTGTATTTTTACAGACGGGGTTTCACCGCATTAGCCAGGATGGTCTCGATCTCCTGACGTCGTGATCCGCCCGCCTTGGCGCCTACCAAAGTACTGGGATTACAGGCGTGAGCCACTGCGCCCGGCCTCAGGTTCTCTTTTTATCAAGACATATTTAGAACCTCAGTTTTTCATTAACACTGGGATTATCAAACCCCTGGGCAGGGGTTAATCCTTCATTGCTAAATGCCCATGAGTATTTTATTTTTATATGCTTGGAGGACTCATTCTTTGTTGATTAGATACGCTCAGAAAAACAAAGGATATGTCAAAAAGCTGCTTGATAAAAATTATTATGTAAGGAACAACAACAATAAAATAAAATAAAAAAGTTAAAAATACAAATACTTGCATCTCCATCTCTCCCATTCCATTCTTTCAAAATAAATGTGTCAGCAGAAGCCTGCATGTGTTAAAGGCCATTTGCTTAAAAAATTAACTTTACCACAACTAAGTATAGTTAGAATTGAGCAGAGGAGCATGATTATTCACCTTCATGCTGAATAGTAGATGGGGAAAATTAATTTTAGAGTTAATATGCTTCTTTTGATCTGTCCAAATTATTCACACAATATTTTAATTCTTCAATATGCTGATTCATATTTTCAAGCATAGAATAGTGCCCTGGTGTGCTCAAGTAACTTTTTTCACCTTTTATGGATATGCACTTTCTTGCAAGACCATTTTGATCATCCCAGCTTGCCAAATCATTATATCAAATAATAATAACAGGTCTTTATTATCACCCACAGTGAGCTACCTATGCCAAAGAAAGCTACATAAATGTATTTTCTTCTTGGTGGGTTCAAATAAAAGAAAACTGATATCTTCAAATTCTCATCAGAAGACTACTGCTGACTAATCTGGTGAAGGAAGGAAATCTCTGAGGGAAATGCTAATTGGAAGGGTAAAGCTCTCAGTAGGATGTACTATTTTCTTTAAATGTCAAGAGAGGGACTAACACATTTACTTTTTTCATGGACTGATGTGAGGGAATGGGAACAAATGGCGGATGTACTATTTTCTTTAAATGTCAAGAGAGGGACTAACACATTTACTTTTTTCATGGACTGATGTGAGGGAATGGGAACAAATGGCCACTGATCTAGACATCCTATTTTTATCATAAAAAATAGAGGTTTACTTGTTGACCTAGTTCAGTAAAGTTATTTTGTTCTGAGTGCTGAAATACTGATAGCCCAAAAAGAGCAGGACCTAGAGTATTATGATGCATTAGTATACTAGAAATAACTCAATTTATTTGTAGCATTATTTGCAATAAAAAAGAAAAGGTTAAATGTTTAGCAGAAGACAAATAGTTATGGTATAAGTAAATAATGAAATGGTAGGAAGCAATTACAATAATAAGTGATACTAATACTATCAGAATTTTCCACTTTATGTATCATAAAAAACATCAAGGCTGGGTGTGGTGGCTCATGCCTGTAATCCCTGCACTTTGAGAGGACAAGGAGGGTAAATCACTAGGTCAGGAGTTTAAGACCAGCCTGGCCAACATAGTGACACCCAGTCACTACTAAAAATTCAAAAATTAGCCAGGCATAGTGGTGTGCACCTCTAGTCCCAGCTACTTGAGAGGCTGAGGCAGGAGAATTGCTTGAATGCTTGAATCCAGGAGGCAGAGGTTTAAGTGAGCTGAGATCGCACCACTGCACTCCAGCCTGGGCAACAGAGTGAGACTCTGTCAAAAAAAAAAAAAAATCAAAATATAGACAAAATTATTTTAAGTTTCAAAAGATAAAACTGTATTATCTTAGCAATGTTAAATTGATGTGTGAAAAATAATACAGTAAAATAAATTGTAGGTATTAATTTTCTCTAAGGAAGAAATATAAATGTATCTCATTTTTATTTTTAAACGTTTTAAATATTTCCTAATTAAGAAATGACACAATAGAAAACAAAAGCTATTGTATTAGTTTTCTATTGCCACTATAACAAGTTACCACACATTTAGTGTCTTAAGAAAACATCTTATTTTACTATTTTAGATATCAGAAATCCTTAATGAGTCTCCCTGGGCAGAAATTAGTGTTGGCAGGCTGTATTCTTTCCTGGAGGCTCTAACAGATAATCTGTTTCTTTGCCTTTCCTAAATTCTTGCTCTGCCCATGTTTCTTGGATTATGGTCCTCTTGCTTCTTCAAAGCCAGCGATCCTGTCACTCTGACCTCTCCTTCCAGCATTGTATCTTCTCTAAATCTGACTCCTTTCTCTCCTTCTTTTACTTATAAAGGTGCTGAGATTGCATAGGGGCTACCTGGGCAATCCAGGCCATCTCTTCATCTCAAGGTCCGCTGATTAGCAACCTTAATTTCATCTTGCCACATAAGGTAATATATTCACAAGTTGTGGGGATTGAGACATCACTGGCAATGGGAAGGATTATTTTGCCTACCACAGCTATTAGCTGTGTATCCTAGTAAAGTTTTCCTAGGAAGGTTAATAGAACACAGTCTCATTTATTGTTTATAATCGTCCCTAAGAAATCACCTTTCGTGTAGAAAATACTTCCTTTTATTCCTTTCAAAATTTTGAATATTCCCTTCATCCCTTTAAATTTCTCTCTTTCCTTTTTTTTTTTTTACCCCATTTTCTTCTGTGGCTTTCATGACTTCATGCTGTTTGTTTATTGTTCATTACCTGTCTTGCCTCACTAGAATGTACATTCAGATAAGGTGGGGAAGAGAACAGCAGTGCAGTATATTGATTACTGGGTAATTTGTTTCCTCTATATGTCACTAAACCATTCGCTGAGCAAAACCACCTGACTTAGGATATCAATATTTGGTGACTGGCTTTCATATCAAATTTACAAGAAAAACATGTCTTGTGAGTAAATGCTTCAGGAGAAAGAACAGTGCACAGGGGTCAGAGCACCTGGGATTTTGTTCAGCCTAGTTTACTGGCTATAAGTAATAGCTTTTCAATGTCAAAAATCTCTGAGTCATATTCTATCTTTGTGCAATAAGGACTTATAATTCATGCCTACTTCAGATAGCACAGTTATCACTAGTATAGTAAGACTCCATTCCATGCTGGAAAAAAGAAGTGTTGTCTTTAAATCACATGATTACTTTTATTTTATATGTATCATCTATAATCTTTTAAACTCTAAGATGTGTTAAAAACATAAATGCGAATAATAGTTGCCATATATTTGTTTGATCATGCAATGTGATAATGATAAGTATATTTTGTTTAAAGTTCCCTATAACTGAAAGTATAAAGCAAGACAGAAGACATCTATAGAAAGGCATCTCTTTTACTTTGCCTGAAGCTACATATTTCAATGCCTTTAATATGCAATATTTTAAATATTTCAATATTTTGTTATAAATAACTTTAATATTTAATAATAAAATACCATTTCATATACTCTTAGTATGAAGAAAGCATAGGTGCTATAGAAGACACCCTAAATATTCAATCATCTTATCGAATTTTTAAGCTAAAAAACTGTATTATACAACTACTTATTGTGACAGTATGAGTCCTACATAAAAATGAAATTGAATCATGGTTTCATTTTATTCAACAAATTCGTATTGAGCCCTTACTATATGACAGGTACTATTTTAGGCATTGGATATAAATCTTTGAACAAAGTGAATGAAAGTCCTCCATTATAAATCTTATTTTTTGTGTCTAGACATGTAAGCAAGTCAGTAAATAGGTTAAGTATTATATAGGTAAGATGAAGATAGATTTTATGGGAAAACATTGCTTACAGTGATGGTGGATGTGGACGAAGACTTGTAATTTGAGTAGCCATAGTAGACTTCTTTGAAAAATGATTCATGATTTGAGAGAGATTAGGGAGCCATGGTGATTTTGGGAAACAAGAACATTTTAGGAAAAGGGAACAGCCATACAAAAGCATGTACAGAAAGTGTGAGGAATAAAGACAAGTCCAGTGTAGTGAGACAGAGTATGCAGTTCAGAGAGTAATAGGATGTGCAATCTGGGCATTAAAGGAAAAGGGTAAGATGCTGTGGAGACTTACAGGCCATTGTTAAGGCCTTTGATTCTAGGTGAAATGCAGAGCCATTGCAGGGAGAGCAGAGAAACGGTTTTCTGACTGATATTGTACAATTATTCTGGCTGTTATTATGATAATGAAATAGAAGGTGGAGAAAGATTCAAAGCAAGGAGATCAATTAAGAGGCATTTAAAACAATCCAGGCCAGAAATAAAGTTGGGAAGTGTTAGGGAAAAAGCAATAGAAGTAGGGAGAAGTAGTTGAAATCAGGATAATTTTTGAAGAATGCAAGAAAATGTTCTGAAATAGCACATGTGAGTTGAAAGAGGAGTCAAGACTAGCCATTTAAAAAAATAGACCCATTTAAGTGGAAGAAGGCATCATTATTGACTGAAAGGGGAACACATCAGGAGGGCAGGTCTGGGACTGAAGATCACTTGTTTAGTTTTGCCTTTTACAGTTTGAGATAGATCAAGCTTAACGTACACAACATCGAAAGTTTATGAGACAAATCAGAACTGTAACAAGCTGAGGAGTCTTCTATCATATAAATAGAACACAAAGTACTGACACTGATGGAGATCTCCAGCATATCAGGTGCACATATGAAAAGAAGTGCTAACACAATCAAGATTTAAGTCACTCCAGTGTACACAAGTCAGGGAGAAGAGCAAAAAACAATAAAGAAAAACAGGAAAGCTGCTACTACTGACGTAGGAAGAGCATAAACTGTACTGTACTAGCAGTAAAGAGTGAGAAAGATGGGAAAATCAACTGTATGAAAGGCTGCTGGCAATAAGATTTCTGAGACTAGACGACTGGACTTACCAAAGTGGCCACTGTTGGTGACCTTGACAAGAGCATTTTTAGTAGGATCAAATGCCTGATAAAAATGGGTTTTATAGAAAAAAAATGGAGAAGAATGAAGAAAGCAGTATAGAGGAATCTTTCAAAAAATGTACTATAAAGAAAAAAGGAAACATAAAAGCAAGAAATGATGTCGATGGAAAAAAAAGTAAAGGTGACAGAGGTACAGCAAGGTGACATGCTCATGGGGATGGCTCACTGTGTTTGTCGTAAGCCCTCTAAGCTGAGTTATGGTGCAAAATATTGTTTTGTTTTGTCATGTATGAACAAGGTAGGATAAAAGAAAACTGTAAATCATGAGTTGCCTTATCATCATTGACAATATAGAACTCAAATACTTAATGAAGGATATTCTAAGTACCTATAATAAATACATTTTAAATTAGTTATGTCACCGAGCTTCCATTTGTTATTTGTCATTAGATATTTAGTTTTACAACAATTGAGTCTAAATTTCTATATTGACCACTTTTTAACCTTCAAAAGTAATTTAATTTTATGGCTTAAATTCTTCATCTGCCAGATAGCAGGAATACCTGTTCTACCCAATTATTGTTTTTCTAAAGGAAAAATAATATAAAGGATAAGGACTTTTATTTTAAAAAATGCAAGGTTAGACACTATGTATTCAAGTGGTAGATTACCGTTGTATTTGCTCAAGACTAATCCAAAGGAAAATTGTTGCCAGAACAATCTGTATATTGGTTATTTGTATGTTTAATAGAAACCAAGTAAGTATGTTTGACCTATTCTGAGAATACATTCCTGTAATATGTTTCCTATCCTTAAATACAAACACTTGAAAAATAGCAGAGGCTACTTTTTTCAACTTTATTTTTAATAACTTCCACGGTATTGTTGAATCAGGATCCCAAATAAACTCTGTCACAGTAGGTTTCTGATGTGATATATGGCTGGATAGTAACATACTACAGGATATAAAATCTCTTATGGAAAGGGAATTCATTATATATTAAGTACTTACTATATTCAAGCACTGGGAAAATTGCATATTCTCTGCTTCCTAATATTATAAAATACAGTAAAATATAAAAGAACAAACATTGATGTTGCACAATGTAGCAATAACCATGGGAGAAGCAGCACTTAAAACAGATGACTGGAAGCAGAGGATATCTTTAGACAGAGCACCAGAAATAGGGGTGAGTCTCTGGCCTTTTCATTGAACCTGGCATCCAGATCCATGTAGACCCTCAGCCCCTAATGATGTGGTACTACTGTTCTCGCTGTGTTCTTAGTCACATCTACTAAGGTGCTCAGGTGTCTTTTCTGAGGTGCCCAGGTGTATTACAGGCACCTCATACAGTTGGCATTCTGTATGTTTTAAGATATTTTTTAAGAAGCCTGAAGCTGCAAGGGTCTCTGGAAGTGGTAGCCAGAGGTGAGGTTAGCCTCGTAATGCTAAAAGGGACACTCTTGCTCAAATTTTCTCATGTTCTAAATGTATACTTTTTACTTTAGCTCTGACCTTAATTGTTAAGCCAGAGAGAATTTCCCCAAGATGAAGACAGGAGAGTTGCATGAATCAGTAGATTCAAAGATACAAGTAAATTTAAGCTTGCCAAGTCACTGTCATGATTCTCTTCCTCTCTCTCTCTCTGTTTCTGTTTCTCTCTCTCTCTCTCTCACACACACACACACACACACACACACACACACTTCAGAAGATACATAAGCCTATATGTGCCCCCAGAAGGGTGGATTTATTTCAAAGAACAGATCCATTTTATAACCAAATTATTATTTTTTCTTAACAGCTTCTACTAGAAATAAACCCCATGAGGCAAGCAATTTTGTCTCTTTTTTTTTTTTCATTACTGTCACTCACTTTGCAAATTAGACCAGTGTTTGATGCCTGCCTAATTGTTTCTCAATAGATATTTACTGACTAGACTGATGAAGAAATAGCTAAGAGGAGCTTAAAACAATGTACTCTGGGAATGTAGAAGGAATGTAGAGACAGAAAGACTCCTATCATCTGGGATTCAAGGAGTATTTCAAGAAAGCAGCTCTTAGAGCTTGGTTTGCCCCTTAACATGTATTTAAAACTTATGTTTACCACTTTACATTTTCTTATTCAACTTATTCCACTCTTAACTATTGAAAGCTTCATTATGTATGAACTGCTTAAGCATCAGAGATTCCATAAATGTTCAGATTATTATGTCCTGCACTAGAGAATGTCACCAATATTTGCATTTTCTCAAAGTGTAATGGGCTTGATATTTGTATTTTACCTCTTTACTTCCCTACTTCTACTCCCTGTCAACTTACTACTTATGCTTTTTACAGCTGGATTCTTGTTCAATACACTGATTGTATTCATCCAAGAGCTCCAATGGTTAAGCTACACATCTCTGATTCCTTAATCAAAACTTAATCTGGATTCACAAAAAACCTCATACCTGACTCTTAATGGCACTTGTGTGTGGGAGAATGGAGGTAGGTTTTGGGTGGTTAAATCTTATGAAATTCTAACTAGTGAAAATTTTGTGTAATTTCTGGAATATATTTCAGAGAAGGATAATCTCCACAGAATGTATGTTCAGTGTTCTCATATTAGCTATTAATTCAGCCCAGAAAGCACAAAAATAAATGTTTGTATTAACTACCTCCCCATAAGACCTTATTATCATGTTATGCAAATATATGCAATTTGCCAGTAAAGATCTTATGTTTATACTGACTCTAAATGCTGCATTATTAATATACCTCACAGCTTTCAGTAATAAGAACAACATTAATCTATCCATTAGCCTAATTGTTGAGAGGTCCATATGAATTTACTAGAAATGGTTTACACCTTTGTGGGTTTTCATTGGACAGTTTCTAATTTTCTGCTATGTCTTTTCACTCAAGAAGAAAAGAAGAAAGAAAATTGTATATGTATCCAAAATATTGTAATATATTTCACTATATACATACATACACACGCGTTTCTGTTCAAACACTTTTAGCTATCATTGTAGAGGTTAACTTTTAATTTTTTCTCCTGCAGTCACTTTATTTTAGCTTTTTAAACTCTTTACTCAAAAGGAGACACAAAGCCACAAAGAAGTCAAAATCTATTATACATTCTTCAAATTTCAGTTAATATTCCACTCTAATATGCATTGGGCTGTCAGTTTTAATCTGCTTCTCCAGATTTGAAGAAATAAACAAAATTAAAAATGAAATATTATAAAATTTAATTTCAGTTGATTTTCAGTTCTTTCCTTCTGATGGATCTTGATACCATTCTGAGTTATGAACAATATTATGTCACTAATGAACGATTAACAGATATTAAAAATAAAGCACAGATAATATTTCTACCAAATAAAAAGTTAACATATTTGACTTAAAGCACCATATCTTTTAACTTGCTAAATGTATGATTGGTATTTCAGTCATCTTTGTTTAAAGCAGGCAAACAAATTAGAATTATATTTGACAAGCAAGTTAGGCCTTTTCCACCTAGCCAAGAATTTGTCTCTAATAGCCCTAAAATAATTTGCCAAGGAGGAAAAAAAAAAGAAATGATGAAGAGTTTATTGGCTCTTGCTATTATTGTAGATAAGAAGAATTATTTCTTACTAAGAGTCAATTAGTTTGAATTAACAAATTTCTTCATTCTTTGCCCATGTTTTAGCTGCCCTTGCCCCACTACCCATTGAGTTTCTCCTCTAGATCTGTTAGTGAAAACTGTCTTATACATAGTCAAAATTTAATCAGTAGTAAGCCATTAGCTTTATATTGTTTGTTTGCTTATTTCACTAAACTTGCATATGCTTGGGGCCAGCACGGTGGCTCACGCTCGTAATCCCTGCACTTTGGGAGGCTAAGGCAGGTGGTTCACTTGAGGTCACTGTTTGAAACCAGCCTGGCCAACATGGTGAAACCCGTCTGTACTAAAAATACAAAAATTAGCTGGGCGTGGTGGTGCACACCTGTAATCCCAGCTACTCCAGAGGCTGAGGCAGGAGAATCACTTGAAACCTGGAGGCAGAGGTTGCAGTAAGCCGTGGAGGTTGCAGTGAGCCACAGAGATCATGCCACTGCACTCCAGCCTGGAGCAACAGAGCGAGACTCTGTCTCAAAAAAAAAAAAAAAAAAAAAAAAGCATATACTCTATGGATACACCAGTAAGTGAACCGTGAACAACAATTGAACTTGATAAATATGCAAAAAAAATTTTCAGGTTTTTCCCAAATCTGAGCCCTCCAAATTATCAAAATGGATAGCTGGAACAGATATTCTGTCAAAATATGTGGGAGAGATTAAAGAGAGAATATGTGGGAGAGATTAAAAGAGAGAACATGTACTTAAACAGAATTTTAAACAGTAAAAATACTGTGATGCTATTACTGTTGATTAAGCACATATTTTTTCTGTTTAAAATGGTATAATCTATTTAGTGAACAGTAATACGATATTTTTCAATTGTGACAGGTTTCTACGTTTGTAATTTTTATAACAATTTTATGTTAATCTGTCATCCCATTGATGGTATTGTTTTCCTTCAAGTTATTTCTTCACCTGCTAAAGAAATCTCAACTATCACTTTAGGTTAATTAATAGAAATAATAAGAAGAAGAAAATTAAAGACCCCTGTGAATAGCCAACCATATTTTCAAATTAGAACCTTAATTAAAATGTTATGGACTAGTAATTACAGACTCATTAGTTAAATCCCCCATAGCATTCCATAATTGTTTTTGAAATTATCATTTTTATTTATGTAATTCATATCTCTTTCACATCTGCCCTTTAATGTAAGGGAAAACATAAGATTATCCTTCCATTGAATCATTATTCCACAAAATGTCACATAGAAACCTATTATTTCTTTTCTCATTTATAAACAAAAAACACTTTGAGTAACAGAATCACTTACATTAATTTAAAAATATCAACTAATTATCTGGATAAGATCCTTCAACCAACTAAATCAATGAGTATCAAGATAGTCATCACTGATTGATAAAGAGCTTTATATTAGGACTAGTAAATAAGCACTTAATGTTTGACTGAAAATTGATGTGATCTCCTCTATTAATCTCTTTCTCCCTCTCCTCCACTCTCTTTTCTTCCCCACCTTTCATCTGTTTAATTGGAGCTAAATAGTGATGCTTGCCTTTCAATGAGTTCAACAGGGGCAAGAGTTAAATTGTTTGAGACTATTTGAACACTAGGTGATGTTTCAGATTTACCATCATCCTGTGTAGTCAGTGAACTGTATCTGTTCCAGGTTTTTTTTTAACTCTTAAAACAAATTGACACTTAAACCACAATCAAGGAATTTGAAAAATAATTAATACAAACATGATTTTAGAGTCACTTTAATCACATCACAAATCTATTGTCCTGCAGGAAAACAAGCAAACAACAAAACCTAATCTTGAAATTTGTAGACTTTGAAATTGGGTTTCAACTCTTTAACTTACTGTCTGTTGGGCACTGCCTAAGATAATCTGTTTGAGACATAGTTTATTGCCTTACAATGGAAACTAGTTAACTGGTTAGCTCTTAGTACACCCAATAAGGGGTAGAAAACAGACAATTAAGTTTGGTTTGTGTGGGCAGTGGAGGGAAGAAATTTATGGATCTTGTTTTTTGTTTTTGGTCATATTTATTGGAGCTGCTCTTGAGAGTAGTTGAATGTTGGGCTTCATTAAAATGTTATGGATTAGAGAAGTAGGTTTTAGAATGAATAGACAAGGACAGTATTCAAATTATCAGTGACTATTATTGTCTGTATGGTACAAGTTCTCAGTGTTATATACATCGTATAATTTAATAATAAGCAAAAATAGTTGAGCAACACTGCAGATCAATTAAGAAAGAATTTCCAGAATGAGATCCCAGGATGTACATGTTAACAAAGCTTAAAATAGCCATTATATATGTGCTTCTGGATGAGAACTACTGACAAAGGAAGGAGAGCATATACAAAATAAAAATAACACTACTAATAATAACAAAAAATCAATGGTAATAAAGGCTGAGAATGAAGCCTTTAGAATTTCTGATATTTCATAGTGAAAAAAGTAAGATACAGTGGAGGTAATGAAAATATATGTACAGAAATCCAAGAGGCCAAATAGGAGCAGAAAAAACATAGGTCAAAAGGTGAGAAAGTTCCTAAAAATTAGCAGAATAGAAATATTTCATCTCATGGTTAGCTGTATTCCTAGGTATTTTATTCTTTTTGTGGCTATTGTGAATGGAACTACATTCTTCATTTGGCAATCAGCCTGAATGTTATTGGTATATAGGAATGCTACTAATTTTGTATATATTGCTTTTATACCCCCAAATGTTGTTAAAGTAGTTTATCAGATCAAGGAGCTTTTAGGAAGAGACTATGGAGTTTTCTAGGTATAGAATCATATCGTCTGCAAACAGGGTTAGTGATATGGTTTGGCTCTGTGTCCCCACCCAAATATCATCTTGAATTATACTTCTGTAATTCCCACTGTTGTGGGAGAGATCTGGTGGGAAACAATTAAATCATGAGGGCGGTTTCCCCCATACTGTTTCCATGGTGGTAACTAAGTCTCACAAGATCTGATGGTTTAATCAGGCATTTCTGTTTTCGCATCTTCCTCATTCTCTCTTTGCCTGCTGCCATCCATGTAAGAAGTGGCTTGCTCCTCCTTGCCTTCTGCCATGTTTGTGAGGCTTCCCCAGCCATGTGGAGCTGTAAATCAAATTAAACCTCTTTCTTTTGTAAAGTGCCCATTCTTCGGTATGTCTTTATCAGCAGCGTGAAAACAAAATAGTACAGTTAGTTTGACTTTCTTTCTTCTTATTTAGATGCCTTTTACTTCTTTCTCTTGCCTGATTACTCTGGCTAGGACTTCCAGTACTGTGTTTAATAGTGAATGCTTATACACTGCTGATGGGAATGTAAGTTAGTTCAGTCATTGTGGAAAGCAGTGTGGTGATTTCTCAAAGAACTTAGAACTACCAGTTGTCCTAGCAATTTCATTATTGAGTGTATATCCAAAGGAACATAAATCATTTTACCATAAAGACACATCCACACGGATGTTTATCACAGCAACATTCACAAGAACAAAAACATGGTACCAACCTAAATGCTCATCAATGGTAGACTGGATAAACAAAATGTGGCACATATACACCATGAGATACTATGCAGTCTTAAAAAAAGAATAAGATCATGTCCTTTGCAGCAACATAAATGGAGCTGGAGGCCATTATTCTAAGTGAACTAAACGTGGAACAAACAACCAAATATTGCATGTTCTCACTTATAAGTAGGAGCTTAATATTGAGAACACATGGACACAAAAAAGGAAACAATTGATAGCAGGGACTATTTGAGGGTGAAGGCTGGGAGGAGGGAGAGGCTTGAAAAACTACCGTTGGGTACTATGCCTATTACCTGGATGACAAATAATTAGTACACCAAAACCCTGTAACATGCAATTTACCTATATAACAAACCTGCACATGTAATCTTGAACCTAAAATGAAAGCTAAAAAAATTAGTGAAATAGTCAATACTGTGTTTGTTGAAAATGTTTCACATAAGGACTGAGAGCTCTTGACTGAATTTGTCCACAGGAGGCCATTTATTTAATAGATTCTGAGAGGTAGAGTGACCACAGAAACCTGACTTAAATAGGTGCTAGTGAATAGATGATGTAGCCCTAAGGGCATAGACTGAATGTAACAGCATAGAATGAACAGCATAGACTGTTCCTTCAGGAATGGAAGTGACCTTTGTTTACATATAAAAAATAAGAAGATTTTAATCCATCTTGAGTTAATTTTTGTATACGGTATAAGAAAGGGGTCCAGTTTCAGTCTTCTGCATATGGCTAGCCAATTACCCCAGCACCGTTTATTAAAGAGGGAATCTTTTCCCCATTGTTTGTTTTTGTCAGATTTGTCGAAGATCAGATGGTTTTATGTGTGCAGTCTTATTTCTGAGTTCTCTATTCTGTTCCATTGGTCTATGTGTCTGTTTTTGTACCTGTAACATACTGTTTTGGTTACTGTAGCCCTGAAGCATAGTTTGAAGTCAGCTGGCATGATGCTTCTAGCTTTGTTCTTTTTTGCTTAAGATTGCCTTGGCTATTCGGGCTCTTTTTTGGTTCCATATGAATTTTAAAATAGTTTTCTCTAATTCTGTGAAGAATGTCAGTGGTAGTTTCATAGGAATAGCATTGAATCTATAAATTGCTTTGGGGAGTAGGGCCATTGTAATGATACTGATTCTTTCTATCCATGAGCATGGAATGTTTTTCCATTTGTTTGTGTCATCTCTGATTTCATTGAGCAGTGGTTTGTAGTTCTCCTTGTAGAGATCTTTCACCTCCCTAGTTAGCTGTATCTCTAGGTATTTTATTCTTTTGGTGGCAATTGTGAATGAAAGTTCATTTGCGATTTGGCTCTCAGTTTGCCTGCTGGTATATAGGATTGCAAGTAATTTTTGCACATTGATTTTGTATCCTGATACTGCTGAAGTTGTTTATCAGCTTAAGAAGCTTTTGGGCTGAGACTGTTGGGTTTTCTCGATATAGGATCATGTTGTCTACAAACAGGAATAGCTTGTCTCCCTCTCTTCCTATTTGGATGCCCTATATTTCTTTCTCTTGTCTGATTGTCCCAGCCAGAACTTTCAATACTGTGTTAAATAGGCGTGGTGAGAGAGGGCATCTTTTTCTTGTGCTGGTTTTAAAGAGGAATGCTTCCAGTTTTTGTGCATTCAGTATGAAGTTGGGTGCAGATTTGTCATATATGGCTCATTGTGTTGAGGTATGCTTCTTTAATACCTAGTTTATTGAGTATTTTAAACATGAATGGATGTTGAATTGTATCAAAAGCCTTTTCTGTATCTATTGAGATAATCATGTGGTTTTTGTCTTAGATCTGTTTATGTGATTAATCACATTTACTGATTTGGAACCCAAAACTATAAAAACCCTGGAAGGCAATGCCATTCAGGACAGAGGCACAGCAAAGATCTCATGACAAAGACACCAAAAGCCATCGCAACAAAAGCAAAAATTGACGAACTGTATCTAATTAAACTAAAGAGTTTCTGCACACAAAAAAACTATCAACAGAGTAAACAGAAAACATACAGAATGGGAGAAAATTTTTGCAAACTATGCATCTGACAAAGGTCTAATATCCAGCATCTATCTATAAGAAATTTAAATAGGTTTACAAGAAAAAAAAACAGCTCTATAAAAAAGTGGGCAAAAGACATGAATAGGCACTTTTCAAAAGAAGACATAGATGCAGCACAACATCACTGATCATCAGAGAAATGCAAATGAAAACCACAATGAGATACCCTGTCACACCAGTCAGAATGTCTGGTATTAGAAAGTCAAAAAATAGCAGATGCTGATGAAGTTGTGGAGAAAAAGGAACACTTGTACACCCATTGTTGATGGGAGTGTAAATTAGTTCAGCCACTGTGAAAGATAGTGTGGTGATTCCTCAAAGACCTAAAGACAGAAATATCATTAGACCCAGCAATCCCATTATTTGGTATACATCCAAAGGAATATATTCTATTGTAAAGACACACGTACATGTATGTTCATTGGAGCACTGTTCACAATAACAAACACATGAAATCAATCTAAATGCTTATCAATGATAGACTGGATAAAGAAAATTTGGTACATATACACCATGGAATACTATACAGCCATTAAAAAACTACCTGAATGATGAAATAATTTGTACAACAAACCCCCATGACACAAGTTTATCTATGTAATGAACCGGCACTTGTACCCCTGAACTTGAAACGAAAGTTAAAAAAAGATAGAGTTAAAATTAATTTTAATAATTTACTATATTTTAAACCCAATATATAAATAATTGAAACATGTATCAAATAAAAATATTAGTAAACTATTAAAAAATAAAATAAAAACTTGCTGAAGATGAAAATAAGCTGCAGACTATTATGTCATAGTAGAACTGGTCATACCTATTCCATGAAAAATATGAAGCCAATAACAGTTTTACGTAGAATAATACAAAAATGAGATTTATATTTCATAAGAAATGACTTCTTTATAGAGAATGAATTAAATAAAGCAAGAATCAAGAAATAAAGTAATTTAGAAGATTAATGGAGGCTTGGTGACAGGTTAAGTATGGCTTGATGAATTAGAGGTGAGGCTGAATAGAAATAAAGAATGAAGATAGTGCATATTTTGGATGAAAATCAATATTTTTGGATTTTGTAGAAAGTCTCAGGAATGTAACACACCAAAAATTTTTCTTATTATTACTGTTTTATAAGTGACTATATATGATGGGACCCTTTACTGAGATCAGGAGAGAATTCCCGACATAAAAATTATATAAATATAAAAACCATCTCTTTTCACAATCTTTCAGCTGAACCAAGCAATAGAAGTAAAGAAACTTACAATATATATAAAGTTTCAATCATTCTAGTAAATCTCTTGTTTCCCGTAGGAAAGTGATGGAGGGGACCCTAAAAATACTCACTCAGAGAGTAAGGGATGAAAGTGAGTAAACTTCAGGAGGAGTTCTTGAATCACAACAGTCTCCTCATCTGGGAATATTAATGCATTTGAATCCCAGAATGGTATAGGAGCTTACTTGTTTAGATAACAGAACCAAGGCTAGACAAAAAAACTCTGTTGAAGGGAAAAAAACTTTGCAATAACTTGCTATGACCAGTTACAACTTTTGTAAAGAGAATATAGTTGGATCATATTTTCATATCCATTCTGCCAAGCTTGTCTTTTTTTACGTGTTTAGATCAATTATATTAATTATTGCTATGTTAGTGCTTAAGTTTGAGATTTTATTTGTTTTCTGTGGTTCTCATTCTGCTGTTTCTTTTTTAAAAAAAGTCTTACTTGTATAAATTTAGCAGATATAAGTGCACTTTTGTTACATGGATATATTTCTTAGTGGTGAAGTTTGGGCTTTTACTGTAGCCAACACCCACATACATTGTACCCATTAAGTATTATCTGATCCCTCATTGCTGTCCCACCCTCCTACTCTTCCAACTCTGCAATGCTTATTCTACTTTTCATGTCTATTTGAACACATTATTTAGCTTCAGCTTATGTGAGAACATATGGTATTTGACTTTCTGTTTCTTAGTTACTTCACTTTACATAATCTGTTTATCTTTTATTGCCTTTCTTTTCGTTTATTTCTATATGGAATTTGGATTCCATCTTGATTAATAATAGCATTTTGAGTATATCTCCTTTGCATATATTTTAGTGGTTGCTCTGAGTTTTAGAATATATGCATGTGACATATCAGAGTCTATTGGTAACAATATTTTTTCATTTTGAATGTGTGCATGTGTATGTATGTGTGCGTGTGAAGTGTGGAAACCTTACATCAGTTTAGTTCCCTTTACTTTGGCCACTGGTACATATCATAGCCTTAAAATCAGATGGTGTTATAGTTTTTATTTAAATCACCATATGATTTGTGAAACTCAAGAGGACAGCCTCTTATAAATAATCATTTTTTTCTTTTTCTATTTTATTTCTTCCTTCAATGTTCCAAGTTTGCTGCTTCTACCACTTTCTTTCTGTTAGAAAAATTTCCATTAGCCAGTCTTCAGGCCTACTACCAAGTATTTTACATCTTTGTTTGAGAATACCTGTATTTTTCTTTCTTCCCTAAAGTACAGTGATGTTGGATATACAATTTTCAGTTGACAACACTTTTCCTTAACCATTTGAAAAATATCTTGCCACTTCCTGCTGACCTCCATGGTTTCACATAAGTGCAAACCCAGGAAATTTGAGACAGATCTCAGTTAATTTAGAAAGTTTATTTTGCCAAGGTTGAGGACACGCTTGTGACGGCCTCAGGAGATTCTGAAGACATGTGTCTAAGGTGTTTGGGGCACAGCTTGGTTTTATACATTTTAGGGAGACATGAGACATCAATCAATATATGTAAAAACGATTTTAGTTCCATCCAGAAAGGCTAATACAACTCAAAACAAGGCCCTCCCACTGGAGGCTTCCAGGTCACAGGTAGGTGAGAGACAGATGCTTGCATTCTTCTGAGTTTCTCATAAGTCTTTCCAAAGGAGGCAATCACAATATGCATCTATCTCTGTGAGCAGAGGAACTATGACTTTGAATAGAAAAGGTGGATTTGTCCTGAATGGTTCCCAGCTTGAAGGAGCCCAAGATATATATATTTTTCACATATCTTTTGAAATGATGATTCCCTATAGATAATATGTTCTTTCTCTCAGCCTGCTTTCAAGGTTTTATTGTTGTTTTAGTTTTCTTTAATTTTCTACAGCTTAATTATCATTTTTCCTGGCATATATTTGCTTTACAAATGAAATTTTAAACAGTAATTTAAATAATACAATTTGTGAGTGTGATGAGGTGGGTCTTTTTTTTACAATTACAACAAAAATTAGATACTTAGGAAAATTCTGAGATATGGAACACTTTTTTTGAGAGAGACACACGTAACTTTACTGAAGGACATTAGACAATGTTTAATTTGAGGCATGCAATCCGATAGTAATTTTTCATATCAAATATATTTAAATATTCCTAAATTGTTCTATATATTAGATAACATTTAAATCAAAATAACATAATTTATTCCAAAGCTATAGTAATTAAGACAGCATGACATGACAAAGAAATCAATGATACAGGAAATGAAGCCACTATTGCATGCATTCAGATCATAAACTTGACATATGCCAGAACTAGCACTTTCAATTTCTAGTAAGCATATTGCTGTTTAATAAATATTGTTAGTACTATTGGCTATGCATGAATGACAATAGTTTATGTCACTACCTTACACTAGATCTAATAAAAATCAATTACAAATAAATTAATGGTATAATTGCAAAAAGAAAAAAAAATAACATGTTTGAAAAAAAGTAGGACAATCTACTAAATATGTCAAGGTAGGGTTTTTTAAATCTAAAAATATCCTAAAACATAAAATTTTGACTTAAAATCCCTTTAATTGATAAACTTTTTGTATGTTCATATCAATACCTTTTTTTGTACTTATATCTAGTTATTTAAACCTCAATAAAGTGAAAGAATACAATATTTCAAATATGGAAATTACATATTCAACACATGTAATAAAAGCATTGTTTTCATAATATAAAGTACAAAGATATTAATGGAACAAAAATCAAAGATTCGAACACGAAGAAATGTTTATGGAAATGGCTAATAACTGTGTGAAAAAATTATCAATCAGAATAGCGATCAGGTAGGGGCAAATAATATACCCAGTTATTACCACTTTATACCAGTAGTAGTATTTACTTTTTAATTTTCAATTTTGGTGAGTATATAGTAAGTATATATATTTATGTGAGTATATAGTAAGTATATATATATATAATTAGATGTTTTGACACAGGCACGCAATGTGAAATAAGCACATCATGAAGAATGGGGTATCCATCTGCTCAAACATTTAGCCTTTGAGTTACAAACAATCCAAGTACACCCAAGTTCTTTTAAAATGTACAATTAAGTTATTATTGACTATAGTAACCCTGTTGTGCTATCAAATAGTAGATCTTATTCATTATTTCTATTTTTGTATGCATTAATTATCCCTACTTCCCCTACACCCCTCCCACTGTTTTACCAGCCTCAGTAACCATCCTTCTACTCTCTGTGTCCATGAGTTCAATTGTTTTGATTTTTGGATCCCACAAGTGATAACATGTGATGTTTGCCTTTCTGTAACTGGCTTAATTCACTTTAAAGAATGATCTCCAATTTTGATCTCATTTTTTCAAATGGCTGAATAGTACTCCATTGTGTATATGCATCACATTTTCTTTATCCATTCACCTGCTGATGGACACTTAAGTTGCTTCCAAATATTAACTATTATAAACAGTGCTGCATCAAACATAGGATTGCAGATATCTCTTTGATATACTGATTTCCTAGATTCATAGTTTCAGGTCTCAGATTTAAGTTTTTAAATCATTTTGATCTGATGTTTGTGTATGGCAAGAGATGGGGGTCTAATTTTATTCTGCATATGAATTTCCAGTTTTCTCAGAACCATACTGATTTCATTTCTTTGGGACTGGAATTGCTGGGTCATATGGTAACTCTATTTGTAGTTCTTTGAGGAACCTCCAAACTGTTCTCCATAGTGATTGTACTAATTTCCACCAACAGTTCATGAGGGTTCCCTTTTGTCCACATCCTTGCCAGCATTTATTTCCTGTGCTGTGGAAATAAGCCATTTTAACTGGGATGAGATAATAACTCATTGTAGTTTTCATTTGTGTTTCTCTGATGACCAATGATATTGAGTACCTTTCCATATCCCTGTTTGCCTTTTTTATGTCTTCCTTTGAGGAATAATTATTCAAATCTTTCACCCATTTTTTGATCAGATTATCAGATTTTCTCCTACAGGGTTGTTTGAGCTCCATATAAATTCTGATTATTAATTCCTTGTCAGATGGGTAATTTACAAATATTTTCTACCATTCTGTGGGTTGTTTCTTCACTTTGTTGATTGTATCCTTTGCTGTGGAGAAGGTTTTTAACTTGATGTGATCCCATTTGTCCATTGTTGCTTTGGTTGCTAGTGTATTGCTCAAGAAACTTTTGCCCAGACCAATATCTTGAAGATCTTCCCCAAAGTTTTTTTTTGTAGTAGTTTCATAGTTTGAGGTCTTACATTTAAGGCTTAGATTTGATTTTTGTATACAATGAGAAATAAAGGTCTAGTTTCTAGTTTCATTATTCTGCATATGGATATCTAGTTTTCCCAGCATCATTTACTGAAGATACTGTCTTTTCCCTACTGTATGTTCCTGGGACCTTTATAAAAAATGAGCTCACTGTAGGTGTGTGGATTTCTTTCAGGTTGCTCAGTTCCATTCCATTAGTCTACATGTCTGTTTCTATGCCAGTACCATGCTGCTTTGGTTACTATAGCTCTGCAGAATAATTTGAAGTCAGTAATGTGATTCTTTCACTTTTGCTCTTTTTGCTTAGGGTGACTTTGACTATTACAGGTCTTTATAATAGTCGCATAAACTTTAGAATTTATATGGGGTTTATATCGGTTTCATATAAATTATAGGATTGTGTTTTCTATTTCTGTGAAGAATGTCACTCGTATTTTTACAGGGATTGCATTGACTCTGTAGATTGCTTTTAGTAGTATGGACATTTTAGCAATACTGATTCTTCTGATCCATAAACATGGAATATTTTTCCATTTTTGGTGTCCTCTTTAATTTCTTTCATCACCGTTTTATAGTTGTCATTATAGGGATCTTTCCCTTCTTTGGTTAAGTTAATTTTGTCACAGGATCCTTAGGATGTCACTTCACCAGCTAGGAACCTCTGTGGCTGGCATCGCCTCTGCTTGGGTTTTGCTCATGCCCACCGGGCTCATTCTGCCCACTTGGCCCAGCAGGCTGCATTCAGCTTGCACCACTCATCTGGATCCCGCACCTGAAAAGGGCAAACCAGGCACAGAATGGCAAGGGGTGTATGCGCAAGTGAGTGCAGGGTCCAGCCACTGCACACAGCCAGGTGTGCCAGCTGAGGAAGGGTGGGCAGCTCCAGGAACTGGCACAGGCACCAGCTCTGTGTGAGGCTGCAGTTGAATGAGGTGTACCAAAAGTGGCTTCCGCCATGGGCACGAGGAAACATGATGGCACCTGAAAGCTCAGAGACACCAGGAACCACAGAGTCCAAAGAGGGTTTTACCATGTGTTACAGCCCAGGCTTTAGGAGCCCCAAGGTCTGGGCCTCCAGAAAGCCTGGAACTCTTCTCTCCTTTCAACTGCCTGAATTGTGACAAGCGGGGTGTGGGGGTGTTTCAGTGGAGCATGTTTTAGCCCATTTGTGTTACAGCTTTTTCAGTCCTGCTGTCCTGTTCTGACCCATGACTCCTGGGCTGGCCCAGCCCTGCCACTACTTCCCATTATGTAGGGCAGCCACCCAGTGCCAGCAGAGGGCAAGAGGGTTATAGTGTTACAGTAGATCTGGCCTGGGGAACCCTGAGGTCTGGGCCCCCAGAAGTGTCACCGCTATTCACTCCCACAGTCTGGAAGTGTGTCACTGACTGAAGCTTGGTGAGCCAGCCAGAAACTTGTTACAGCTCCTGCCGTTCATGAGTTCCTAAGTTCTTGTCCAATGTGCAGGAAGAATGAGGTTACAAGGGAAAACTAGGGGATGAGCAAAGCAGAGAGGAGCTTTTTTGAGCAACAGAACAGCTCTCAGGAGACCCAAAATGAGTAGCTCCTTTCTGCAGGCAAGTTTTCCCAGAGAGTGTCTGAGTATGGTTAAGTCTGGGTTTTTTATGTGCTCAGAATGGAGGAAGTTCATGCTAAATGGCCCATGAGCAGCTATGAGCAGGCCTGGAAAAAGCACCATTGGCTGAAAGACATCAATGAATTTCTTACTCTGGGTTACAGACTCTCCCCAGATCTGGCAGCCTGGCCCAAAGGTTTCAGTCCATCCTGGCTTGAAGGTGGGGTTTCACCAGAGACCAACCTCTTACTTCCTATGAACCTGTCTCCCTTCCGCTGACATCAACATGTCATCCACAGTGCCCAGGCTGTCCATGACGAGGGGCACTCAGAGGCCTGTGCTGAGCTGCTCTCAGCTCCCCCGCCTCTGTCCCATGCTCATCACTGCCCAATGTCTGGTGTGGCCAAGGGGGCCAAGGTGAGAGTGGGCTGTCATGTCAGAAGTGCCCTGAGTGCGTGCACACCCAGCTGGGTCTCAATAGTATCCAGGCTCAATCACAACTTGCTCCACACCAGAGCAGGTGCCTGTAGGAGGAAGAGGCCAGACAGTGGGAGCAGGCACTTCTGAGCCTATGGGAGCAGGCAGCTTCCTGGGCCTCTAGGGATGGCCTGGGTCTGGGCCTGCAGCTGGGCAGCTGCAGCCGTGCCCAAGAATCTGGGCTCCTGCCCTGCAGGGCTCCCACTGGGATCACCTGTTTCTTGCCCCTGCCAGCTCTTCGGAGTGTGTAGCCCAGGCTTTGCCTCCCCTGCTGCAGCTGGTGTCTTTGCAGCAGCTGCTCCAGATGGGCTTCTGCCACCTTCAATCTCTAGATATTTAATTTTATATGTGTCCATTGTAAATGTAATTACTTTTTAAATTTATTTTTCACATTGTTCACTGTTGACATGTAGAAATGCTACTGATTATTATATGTTAATTTTGTATCTTGCAACCTTACTGAATTTATCAGTTCTAATAGTTTTTATGGTGGAGGCTTTTAGTTTTTCCACATATCAGCTCATATAATCTGCAAACAAGGATAATCTTACTTCTTTCTTTCCAATTTGTATGGCCTTTATTTTCTTCTCTTGTCTCATTGCTCTAGCTAGGACTTCCAGTCCTATGTTGAAAACAGTGGCGACAGTAAACATCCTGGTTGCATTCCAGATTGTAGAGAAAAGGCTTTCTGTTTCTCCCCATTCAGTATGATACTAGCTGTGGGTCTGTCATATATGCTTTTGTTATGTTGAGGCATGTTCCTTCTATCCCCAGATCTTTGAGGGTTTTTATTATGAAACAATGTTGAATTTTATCAAGTGATTTTCCAGCATCAGTTGAAATGATCATATGATTTTATTCTTCATTCTGTTGATATGATGTACCACACTGATTGGTTTGCATATACTGAACCATCCTTGCATTCCAGGGATAAATTCCACTTACTTGGTCACAATTTCTAATGTATTGTTTGCTAGCATTTTGTTGAGAATTTTTACATAAATATTCATGATAAATATTGGCCTGTCATTTTATTTCTTTATGTGTCTTTGTGTGGTTTTGGCATCAGGGTAACCCTGGCCTCAGAATGAATTTATAAGTATTCCCTTCTCTGTTTTTGGAACACTTTGAGTAGAATTGATACTAGTGCTTCTTTCAGTGTTTTGTAGAATTCATCAGTGAAACCATCAAGTCCCAAGCTTTTCTTTACTGGAAGAATTTTTATTACAGCTTTGATGTTCTTATTTGTTACTAGTTGGTTCAGATTTTTAATTTCTTCCTCGCTCAATATTGGTATGTTGCATGTGTCTAGAAATTTGTACATTTTTTCTGGATTTTCTAGTTTATTGGCATATAGTTGCTCACAGTAGCCAGTAATGATCCTTTGAATTTCTGCAGTATCATTTGTAATGTCTCCTTTTTCATTTCTGATTTTATTTATTTGGATCTTCTCTTTTTCTTAGTCTGCCTAAAATTTTGTCAATTTCATTTACCTTTTCAATAAATAACTTTTTGTTTCATTGATTTTTATGTTGTTTTTTTCATTTCAAATGTATTTATTTCGCTGTAATGTTTTTTCTTTCTTTTCATCTACTAACAGTGACTTTTGTTTGCTCTTGCTTTTCTAGTTCTCTAAGATGCATCATTAAATTGTTTATTTGACATTTGCCTCTTTTTCGATGTAAGCACTTATAGCTATTAACTTCCCTATGAATACTGCTTTTGTTGTATCCCATAGGTTTTAGTGTGTTCTCTTTCCATTATATTTTGTTTCAGTAAATTTTTCCATTTCCTTCTCAAGTTCTACATTGACCCACTGGTCATTCAGGAGTATATTGTTTAATATCCATGTATTTGTATAGTTTTCAAAATTCCTTTTGTTATAAATTTCTAGTTTAATTCCATTGTGTTCAGAAAAGATGATTAATATTACTTTATTTTTCTGAATATTTTAAGACTTGTTTTGTGATTTAGCATATGATCTCTCCTTGAGAATGATCCACCTTCTGAGGAGAAGAATGTGTATTCTACAGCCTTTGGATGAAATGTTCTGTAAATATCTACTTGATTCATTTAGTCTATGGTGCAGCTTAAGTCAGATATTTCTTTGTTGATTTTCTGTCTGAAAGGTCTGTCCAATGATGAAAGTGGGTTGTTGATGTATCCAGGTATTATTATATTGGGGCCTATTATCTGTCATTAGCTCTAATAATATTTGCATCATATATCTTGCTGCTCCACTGTTGGGTGGATATATATTTAAAATTCTTATAGTGTGTTGCTAAATTGTACCCTTTATCATTATACAGTAACCCTTTATCATTACATAGTAACCTTCTTTTTCTCTTCTTATAGTTTTGTTCTTGGAATCTTTTTCTAATATAAATATAGCAAATCCTAATCTTTTTTATATCCATGGGCATGGAATATATTTTTGCATCCCTTTATTTTCAATATATATGTGACTTTATAGATGAAGTGTATTTCTTGTAAGCAAAAGATCAATGCATCTTAGCTTTTTATCCATTCAGCCACTCTGTCTTTTGATTGGAGAATTTAGTCCATTTATGTTCAATGTTATTATTGACATGTAAGGACTCATTTCTGCCATTTTGTTATTTGTCTTCTGGTTATTTTGTGATCTTCTCTTCTATCTTTTCTTCCTGTCTTCCTTTAGTGAAGGTGATTTTCTCTGGTGTTATAATTCAATTTCTTGCTTTATATTTTTTTGTCTCTGTTGTATGTTTTTTGGTTTAAGGTTACTATGTGGTTCACAAATCTTATCTTATGACCTGTTATTTTAACCTGGTAACAACTTAACACTGTTTGCATAAACAAACTGTCAAACGAGCAAAAAGAAAACTAATAAAAGCTATACTGCTTAACTTTGTCCCCAAGCTTTGTAATTTTTTTGTTTCTATTTATGTCTTATTGTATTGATTATGTATTGAAGAGTTGTTGTAATTGTTTTTGAATGGTTCATTGTTTAGTTTTTCTACTTAGAATAAGAGTAGTTTACATACCATACTTACAGTATTATATTATTCTGTATTTTTCTGTGTACTAATTATTACCAGTGAGTTTTTTTTATCTTCAGGGGATTACTTATTGCTCATTAATATCATTTTATTTCAGATTGAAGTACTCTATTTATTGTTTATTGTGAGACAGGTCTGGTGTTGATGAAATCCCTCAGCTTTTGTTTATCTGGGAGTCTTTATTTCTCCTTTATATTTAAAGAATATTTTTACTGGATATACTTTTCTAGGGTAAAAGTTGTTTCTTTTTTTTTTTTTAGCACGTCATGCCACTCTCTCCTAAACCAATAAAGTTTCCACTGAAACATCTGCAGCCAGACATATTGGTGCTCCATTGCATGTAATTTGTTTCTTTTCTCTTGCTATTTTTAGAATCCTTTCTTTTCCCTTGACCTTTGGGAGTTTGATTATTAGATACCTTAAGGCAGTGCTATGGTTTGGATCTGTGCTCCCATTCAAAATCTCTCTCAAATGGTAATATTCATAATCTCCACATGTGAAGGGTGAACCAGATGGAGGCAATTGGATCATGGGGGTAGTTTCCCTCATGCTGTTCTCATGATAGTGAGTGACTTCTCATGAGATATGATGATTTTATAAGCATCTGGCATTTTCCCTACTTGCACTAGCTCTGTCCTGCCACCCTGTGAAGAAGGTGTCTGCTTCTTCTTTGCCTTCTGCCATGATTGTAAGTTTCCTGAGATCTCCCTGGTAGTGCAGAGATGTGAGTGAATTGCACATCTTTCCTTAATAAATTACCCAGGCTTGGGTATTTCTTCATAGCAATGTGAAAAGTGACTAATATGGTAAATTGGTACTGCAGAGGGTGGGGTGCTGCTATAAAGATACTCAAAAATGTGGAAGCAACTTTGGAACTGGGTAATAGGCAGAGGTTGGAACAGTTTGGAGGGCTCAGAAAAAAATAGAAAGACGTGGGAAAGTTTGGAACTTCTTAGTGACTTGTTGAATGATTTTGACCAAAATGCTGATAGTGATATGGACAATAAAGTCCAGGCTGAGGTGATCTCAGATGGAGATGAGGAACTTGTTGGGAACTAAAATAAAGGTAATTCTTGCTATGCTTAACAAAGAGACTAGCAGCATTTTTGTCTCTGCCCCAGAGATCTGTGGAACTTTGAACTTGAGAGAGATGTTTTAGGATGTCTTGCAGAAGAAATTTCTAAGCAGCAAAGCATTCAAAAGGTGATTGAGTGCTCTTAAGAGTATTCAGTGGTATGTATTCACAAAGATATGGTCTGAAATTGGAACTTATGTTTAAAAAGAAAGCAGAGCATAAAAGTTTTGGAAATTTGCAGACTGATGATGCAATAGAAAAAAAAAACATCTTCCAGGGAGAAATTTAAGCCAGCTACCAAAATTTGCATAAGTAATGAGGAGCTGTAGAAGAAAGAGTTTTGTAGGAAAAAGTGAAAAGTTCAGTTTTGGCATATTTACTTTAACATGTTTATTAAGAATGGAACTTAGAGGTGTCAGGCAAGCATTAGCATATTTTCTGTTGTTTTTTAAATTAACAGAATTTATTTTTTGAAGCAATTTTAAGTTAACAAAATACTTAACAGGAACTAGATGTATTTTCTCCTAAGTACATAATTTATCAGTGTTCATTATGGTTAATATTTCCACAATTATTTATTTCATGTGGAAGTAGTAAATAAATCACTCACAAAGATGGTTTTGTTAAATAAAAACCTATAAACCAAGTAAATTTGCATAATATTTAATCTGTAGCAAAACGAATTGCTAAGAATCAGGATTTAAGTTCAAATAAATTACATACTGTGTTAAATATTACAATTAAAGACTCACTCATAAAATGATTCATTGGCTAAATAGCATACATTTTGAGTAAGATATCACTTGACATTATAACTTGTATATTACTAATTTCAAAATCTCACTTTTTTATAAGTGAGCTAAAAGGATTATGATACATCTCAAGCATTTCTTATTTTAACAAAAATTGTCAAATTAGGATAATATGGAAGTGAGTTAATTTTTTGCAGTTTTAATGAACTCATACATTAATTCATTGTGCCAATCGTAATATTTTGATAGTGTACCTATTTTGAGATTTTTTTCATAACTTTACACTCAGTGTTTGACATTTCTTAAAAATTGTGTGATGTAAAATGTAAATATCATCATCAAGAAATACTTATTTTCACCTATATTTTCTACACACTCAACTAAAAATCATTGGGAATATGAAGGCTTTTTGTAAAATTAACACAGAACTTCGATCATAGGAAATCTGGTGTAATGTAAAATGTGAATATGATATTAATTATCAAAACAGATTTTCAATTTTTATTTTCTCACAAGCTTGTTTATAAAAATATATAAATTGATGTGTGTGTGCTTTGTTTTATTTCTTTTTTTACATGCAAATAGAATCATTGGCTCAGATAATCCTCTTCTTTTTTATAACATTTTCATCTATTAACATTAATAGAAACCTTCCTTTAGTAAACTCCTGAAAGCCTCTGATATTTTCATACCGAAAAAGGAATGTTTCACCCTTTCTTTGTGTGGATGTATGTATTCACTAATTGGAAGAACTGAAAGGATTGAACAAATAGGCAAAACTAGATCCTCTTAATTAAGTGCAGTTACTGTTTGTCAACCTAGGCCTGAAGCTATGTGATCAAACAGACTAAATTATAATCCACACATTCTGCTTTGTTTCAGTTTATAATCCCTGTGCTGTTTGTTATCTTACATTGTACACATAAGAATGTAAAAGAATATATAGCGACAATTTTTACTTACTCTTTTTAATATTAAAAAATAGCAGCAGAAAAGGTCAATTACTCAGGAGCTGGAATTGGAATTTCTTTTTTAATTGGAATGCATTCCCTCTCCAAAGAAAAACAATATCCGATTTCTGTTAGCAAGAAAAAAGAACAGAATAAATATCAAATGGCAAGTATGTGTCCACCTATGTTCCAAATCCTAGATTACAACCCCAAATACTAATTTGCATAAAAATTAGAACTCTTGAAATTCCTAGTAACTTTGCTAGTGGCCTACCGTGATGAATTTTATAACAGATTTCACTTTTTTTGTTTTCACTATAATTTTTCCTGCAATATCTTTATGAAGTCTTAGAATCAATACTGGAAAAAGTCTACTCCTCATGTTTTGTTGGGATTGATATAAAATCCATATGATTTTGCTTTGGATTTTTATCTATGCTTATTTATGTCTCCACTGTGCATTTTCAATTCTAGCTTATTTTCTTACCCTATACCCTCATCAATACCATCAATATTTATTTTGATTGTTTTATTTCATAAAATTGTATTCATTTCTGTATATTATTTTACAATTTTTCTGGAAAAGGGCAGAAATAAGTACATACACAATATGGGTAGATATAAATTTGTGTTTTTAAATAACATATGCACTACTATCTAATTGGACTATATTTAATAAAGATAATCTAATATATCATAATACAGTAAAATAATTTTTTTATTTTGTATATAGAAAATATGTATCTTTAATTATTTGCTTATGCTCCATAGACTAACATTGAGGAACTATAGATTGAGTGGAAACCTGATAACACAAAGATTATTTTATAATTTTTTTCCCCCCGAGACGGAGTTTCACGCTTGTTGCCCAGGCTGGAGTACAATGATGTGATCTCGGCTCACTGCAACCTCCGCCTCCAGGGATCAGGCAATTCTCCTGCCTCAGCCTCCCGAGTAGCTCAGATTACAGGTGTGCCCCACCACGCCTGGCTAATTTTTGCATTTTTTTTTTTTAGTAGACATGGGATTTCACCATGTTGGTCAGGCTGGTCTCTAACTCCTGACCTCAGGTGATCCGCCTGCCTCAGCCTCCCAAAGTGCTGGGATTACAGGCGTGAGCCACCATGCCCAGCCTATTTTATAAATTTGATGTAACATCTAAGGACACCTGATGGCTGTTATCTATTTATGAGGTGAATAATAACGCTAGCTATTTTTTAATAATTTTTGAAATGCTAAAATGAATTATTATTTCAAGTACAAAACAATGAAGTTAAGTAAAGTTATCATTGTCTAATATATTAATTCATTTTCAAGTTTGTCTAGAAAATGTTTATTTTGTGAAACATAATTATAACTTTACTTATTATCTAAACATATTATGTATTATACCTCATTTTACAGGTTATGTGACTCAGACCATATTTAAGGCTAGCCAGAGACAAAAATTAGTCTCCCTGTGTGTATTAAACACATACTGTCAGACTTTGCAGCTGAATCATACATATCATATAAGATTTAGAATTTTCTAATACCTTGGTTGTGTCATTTCCTTTGAACAATATTTCTGATGGTCCGTATTGATATCGAGTTGCATATTAAAATCTATAGCCCAGAATGCAAATCCATAATTGTCTTGGTTATAGATGTCTTAGATGAAAGCATAAAGTGGACAAAAGTTATTAAAGTATTACAGATTTTAATCCCAAAGATGAAACCCTTAACTTAGCTGAAATGGAAAAGAGAAGTATATGGCAAGGAAAGATATTAAGCGTTGTGATGAGATACATTTCAGTGTTGGCATACACTTGGAAACTAGCCATGGAAAGAATGCAAGTGTGTTTGGCTGTCATGTGGGAGTTTTATAAAATGATTGAAAAAAGAAAATGCATCTTGAACCTGTCTATGAAAGAGATAAAGCCAGGAGGGTGTCACTGTGAAGTTCCCTCTCTTCCTATTTCCTAATTTTGACTGTCCCTTGACAGCTACTCAGGACACCAGATGCCATTTATCTTGAGCACAACTTAAGACAAAGGTTCAATTGCAAGTGGCTTATGTTGAAGGTTTGAGACCCAGTAGAGAAGTGTAAAGTCAGATAGAGAAGTGAAATCAGCTGATAAAGAGTATGTTGTCATAAGCCACCATTAAGCAGGACTTGATTTTTTTAATCCTTGACAGAATTTGGAAGAAGGAATGTAAAACTCATATCACAGCTCATAGCTATCCCAATCAAAGAGGTATGTTTATTTCCATCAGTGTTTTGTCAAAGTCTGCTTGGAGGGGAGAGGGTAGTAATTCACTCTGGTCTCTCACATATGCAAGAGGATAGGAAAGTGGTGTGTCTGGTACACCACACTTTCTGCTTTATAGTTTTTCTGGGTTTGAAAGCAGAGTGGTGACCTGGCATAGGTGGATAATCAATTAAAAAAGAGAAAGACAACAATGGTTAGGAAAAATGAGGAGCACAGGCTGTATCCAATGTATCCATCCCATGTTCTACTTAGGTCCTTTTTTTTTGGCCCCTTCTTTATAATTAGGTGACAAACTATAAAATCTGGCCTCAATTATTTCCTATGAGGATAAAATGTCTTTTATTCTTCCAAAGGGAAACAAAAAGTTTTAAATTTAAAGGATTTCCCTCAAAGTGATGGTCATGTGTAATTTTCTGAAAGGCTAAGGTGAGAGAGCTAATAACAAAAACTACAGCCTCCATTGCTGCATCTGGTCCTAAGGCTGCAATTAATACTAATAATCTTCTTTCTCTATTGCACCTTTAAATGCCATTCGCTCTCCATATTTCACCTGATAAGTTGTTTGCCTGGCAGGATAATCCAGACTATCATTCTCCAAGTGCTCTCAGTTGTACTTGGTTTTGGGATTATAATAGTTTGGCATACCTAGTCATTATCACATATGGAGGTAGCAGTAATGTTACAATGAATCTCGGGTTTCACATTTAATCCTCCCAGCTTACATTGTGTAATAGCAACCATATCTCCTCCTGGCAATCAGAATCAATTACTTCAACCAATGCAGTGCTGGGCAGGTAATCTTCATAACTTCCAGTTTGCTGAAACCATTATTGTGTATTCTGCTAGAATCATCCCTAACACCACCCTCAGTAATGAATATATCTAAAATAGCAAAGACTGAGATTATAATATTTAGAATAAAAATCACCAGATGCTTTAGCAAGAGGACATATTACCAATTCCACATCTAAGTTCCAGGAACTATGTATACTAGCTCTAAGTAACACAGTGACTTTTATTTGATCCCAGATGCATGCTGTATCCTGAAAGATAATGCCCCCACAGTGCAGAGTCCCTTAGCCAAGTCTTCAGAAGTGTAATCCAATGTATATCAGGGTGGTTATTTCTGTGTTACTGGCTACATTGAAACACAAGAAAATCAGATTTCTATGATCTTATTATCACACCTCCTTTTCTGTAAAATGGAAAGTTTGGTCATAGATAATGTGTAGAACACTGTGCTAACAGATAATCCTAATGTTTAGATGGTGCTAACAGCAAAGGCGTCACCTTTTAAGTCTTGATTATAGACATTCATATTTCCACTCAGCCCTTTGACTCAGTAAATCAGATAGCATCTACTTCCTAATAGGCAGCACAAGGAGTATGGTCAGTTAACATAGCATTATTATTTCATCAGCTGTACTGAGGTCCTACTGGAACACCATATTCATTTTTTTCACAGAAGATATTTCTCTACCGCAGAAGTCATGATGGCTTTGCCCCCAAACCCTAAGATATATGTAGCTGGTAGCTTCTAAGATGCCCATGAATGATTTATGTCTCCTGTTGTTCCCAATGTCTAATCCTATCCCTTTGAGTGTGGACTGGATCTTGTGACTCATTTCTAGAAAATACACTGCTTTGACAGTTATGAGATATAACATCTGAAATTGGGTTACAAACCAATTCTGGCTTCCATCTTGTGTTCTCTCTCTCAGTCTCTTTCTCTCACTTGTTCAGAAGAAAAATTGTCTACCATGCTGAGAGCTGCCCTCTGGAGAGACCTGCATGGCAAGAGAGGTCTTTGACTAACAACTAATCAGAAACTAGGATTGTCATTCCAAAAGCTAATAGGAAACTGGCAATGGCAGTGTACATAATCCTGAGTACATCCCTTCTTCTACTTGAGCTTTCAGATGTGACCAGCCCTGGAACCTTGTGAGAGAAAGAATAAACACCTAGCAAAGCCATGGATAGAATCCTGACCCAAAAAAAAACACTGAGATAATAAACATTTATTGGTTAAAGCTACAGAGATTTGAGGTAATTTTTACACAGCAACAGATAATGAATACAAGTTCTGTGCTTCAACTCTTCTGTTGGGATTTGCCAGAAATATCACAATATCTTATCTACCGATTCTTTTAGTTACCTCACATCCATGGGATCATAGTACTCCAAAAGTAAAATGACTTGCACTGCAGCCTGGACCTGATATAGAGTCATTTCTTGCTCTTAACTCTACTCAAAACATTAACTGTCCAGATAACTCAATAATAGGACATAGCATATTCAACATCAATGTGTCATACATCTTAAAGGCAAGGAAATTCAACAGTTGTTGAGCATCTTTCTTAGTGGTATGATATACAAGAATCAGCATTGTATTTTTTACCTTAGCAGAAATATCATTATATGTTCCTGATGACTGGATCCTAAAACTTCACCTAATGGCAGACATCCTAATCTCCATGGGTTTATTTTCCAACCTCTGCTTCACATATTTCCTACAAAGTTTTCTTGTTTAATTACAACTTCTGAGTTATGAGTTAATATTATCAAATTAACATGATATTCAATTAACATGCTGTCATAATTTCAGTTATCTATTGTAAAGATCTACAGAATGATAATATAAATAATATCCCTGTGAAGTATATGAGCACAAAAACCTGGAGAGCTGATAGTACTGACTTAAATGAATAAAAGTATATTGCTGTCTCTGTCACATATTTTGATCATTCTTAATGATGAGCATGGACATGAGAGTATTGTGTAAATAAATACCAATATATCAAGTACAGTGCAGTAATTGAAATTTGTGAATTACTCCAGTAAACATATTACATTCTCCACAACAGTTAAATTTGAGATTACAACATGACTAAATTCATGACAATATGTAGTCATTTGCTATGATACAGCTAAATTTATAGAGAACAGATAGATAAATTCAACAGAGATGAGATAGGACAATTGCCTTTTCAGATTTCACATCTATGTTGGTAACATTTACCTCTACAATCCCTTCCATAACACACCAGCGATTTTTGTTACTATCACGCCACAATTGGTTTACAGTCTTAAGGGCTTCCATTTGTTCTTCCTACTGCAATAAGCTTTCTTCTATAGATCAAGAACAAATGCTAGTATTCAACCTTCTGGTAACTATGTCTGTCCAATTATATGTTGATGAACCAGGACAATTAACTCAAGATCCCTTTAGGCACCTTCTGAAAACTTTATTTTTTAATATTCATTAGTTTCCACTCTAATTTTGGATTGTGATGATGTTTTGAGTCACTAGGCATTAGTGTTAGTTTGGATTTTATATGTTGTAAGGATCGGAATCCTTAAAAAGTCAGGATATTTACTTTTCTAAGTATATATTTGCCTTGGAAAACCATTACCTATCTATTTGAAAAGAATTGGAGAAATAATTAATACATAGATTTAGGTGAAGTTGCAGAGATCTTCCTCAAAGTGCTATTTATTCCACAAATATTGATCTCTGGCACTGTGGGTTCTGACCTGAGAAATAAGTGGACTGTGAGTTTTGTCATGGGTAATATCAGATACCTGCTTCTTGGCTGTCAAGGCTTTATAATTATGCAAATTAGGGAGCACTTTGGGTGGCTTCTATTTATGATGCCTCTGAAAATCCATGATCTATTAGCAACCACTTAAGTTATGATTCTACCTGGCTTTGCAAATCAGATAATATGCTAGAAGATAAACACACACACACACACACACACACATACATTTGGAGTAGAGGAGAGAGAAAGAGAGGAGAAAATCAGACTTGTAGCAGTAGCAGTAGTGATAGGTTTTATGAGTGCTGGCTGTGTAAAATAGCCAGACTAAGCTTCATGGAAAAAGTAACATCCGAGTAAAGATTGAAAGGGAGGAAATTGGTCAAGTGATAAGTAGCTATCAGGAGTTAGAGGCTTCCCAACAGACAAACAGCTAAAGAAAATGTCCCAAAACAGGAATTTTTTTTCACATTTGCAAGATTAGCAGGACCAATATAATCACAGTGACTCCACTGTGATAAGCAAGATAACAGGCCATGAAGGGAGATGATGCCAATTTGTGTACTACCTTGCCGACCATTTTAAGGTATTTGAGTATAATGCTGTCTTAAAATAATAATAATACATCTGAATGAGAGATAGAAGAGACAGAATTGTGCTTAATAGCAAGAACTCTGTAAGCATTGCACCCACCTCTAAACACTTGATATTTGCTTATCAGCTGAGCAACTTTGAACAGTTTTTATTTAAGAAAAATATGTAATTGACAAAGATTGAATATATTCAAGGTGAACAATGTGATGATTTGATATATGTGTATACTGTATAATGATTACCCTCAACAAATTTATTTAATGCATCTATCACCCATGCTGTACATTATAGCCCCAGAAATTGTTCATCTTATAACTGAAAATGTGTGCTTTGAGTAACATCTGTTTCCTCCATTCCTCATCCCCTGACAAGGACCACTCTATTCTTTGCTTCTATGAGTTATACTTTTTAAGATTTTATATAGAAGTTATGTTATGCAATATTTGTCTTTTTGTGTTAGCATAATGTCCTCCAGGCTCATCTATGTTGTTCCAAATTAGTTTTATTCTTTTTATGGCTGAATAATATTGCATTGCATACATATACTATGATTTCCTTATCCATTCATTCATTCATTCATGGACACTTGTTTCCGTATTTTAGCCATTCTGAATAATGTTCCAATGAACATGGGGATGCAGATATCCTTCTGAGATACTTATTTGATTTTCTCTGGATATATACTCAGAAATAGGATTGCTGAATTATATAGTACTTCTATTTTTATTGGGTTGAAGAACCTCCATATCATTTTCTATAACAGGTGTATCAATTTAGATTTCCACCAACAGTGTTCAAAGATTCCCTTTTCTCCACACCCTCATCAGTATTTGTCATGTCTAGTCTTTTTCATCATAATCATTCTAACAGGTATGAAGTAATATTTCATTGTGGTTTTGATGTACATTCAGTTAGTAATGGTGAGTACCTTTTTATATACCTATTTGTCATTTGTATATTTTGTTTGTATAAATGTTTAATCAGGTTCTTTGCCCATTTTAATTTAGGTATTTTTTTTTTTTTGCTGTTAAGCTGAGTGAGTTTCTTTTATATTTTTGTATTAGTACCTTATCAGATATATGGTTTGCAGATATTGTCTACCATTCCATAGGTTGCATTTTCTACCATTCTATAGGTTGCATTAATATTTTATGTAAAATAATCCATGATCATTCTTTCTGTTTTTCCATACATAATTTTGAACATCTGCTTTAAAGAGCTTTTTTTTTTTTAAAAAAAAAAAAACAGCTTAAAGCATATAAGTGTAACCTCCTGAAGAGTCTTCCTGCCCACTGTACAAAAAGCACAGCAATGCAGTAAAGAAAGAGTTTACTAGACATGAGGCCAGCCAGGCCATGTGGGAGATAAAGTAATTACTCAAATCAATCTCAACAAAAGCTCTTAGGTTACAGGTATTTTCAAAGGCAGTTTGCAGGAAGGGGTGAGGTGGCTAGGAAATGAGTGCTTGCTGCTGATTGGTTGGGGCAGAGATTAAATCACAGGGGGTCAAGGCTGTCTTCTGGAGATGAGTCACTCCTGGGTGGGGCCCCAGGAGTGGTTTGCCAAGTCCAAATGGAGCCATCAGGTGTCAGCCATGCAAAAAACCTGAAAAGATTTCTCAAAAGGCAGATCCACAATAGTGATGTTATCTGTAGGGGTAAGCAAGCGGGGAAGTTGCATATCTTGTGAGCAGTCTACACCCTAGCAGAATTCTGGCTCCTGAGTTCCCCCTAGCCTGGTGGTCTCTCATTAGCTTTACAAAGGCAGTTGAGTTTTGGGGAAGGCTATTATCATTTAAACTATAACGTAAATGTCTTCCAAAGCTAGCTTGGCCTAAGCCCAGAAATAATTAAGGCAGCTTGAAAGCTAAACGCGAGAGACAGGGGGTTGGCTAGATCAGATCTTCCCCACTGCCATAATGTTCTCGCTGATAGAATGTTTGCAAAGGTGGTTTCACAAGGGCAGTTTTGTTACATGGACATATTGTGTAGTTGTGAGGTCTGGGGTTTTAGAGCACCCTTTGCCCAATTAGTGAATATTCTACCAGATAGTAATTTTTCGATCTTCACCCCTCTCCACCCTCCTACCTTTTGGAATCTCCAGTATCTGTCATTTACTCTGTATGTCTAATTGTCATGCACGTCCCTGTGAAGAGACCACCAAACAGGCTTTGTGTGAGCAATAAAGCTTTTTAATCACCTGGGTGCAGGCGTGCTGAGACCGAAAAGAGTCAGTGAAGGGAGATAGGGGTGAGACCGTTTTATAGGATTTGGGTAGGTAGTGGAAAATTATAGGCAAAGGGGGTTGTTCTCTGGCAGGCAGGGGCAGGGGGTCACAAGGTGCTCAGTGGGGGAGCTTCTGAGCCAGGAGAAGGAATTTCACAAGGTAATGTCATCAGTTAAGGCAGGAATCGACCATTTTCACTTATTTTATGATTCTTCACTTGCTTCAGGCCATCTGAATGTATACGTGTGGGTCACAGGGGATGTGACGGCTTAGCTTGGGCTCAAAGTCCTGACATCTATGTGTACCCATTGTTTATATGTCACTTATAAGTTCAAACATGCAGTGTTTAACTTTACTTGTTTTTTTATTTATTCATTTACTCTGTATATCTATGTATACCCATTGTTTATCCACCACTTATAAGTGCAAACATGCGATGTTTAACTTTACTTGCTTTTTTATTTATTCTGTATCTCTATGTATACCCATTGTTTATCCACCACTTATAAGTGCAAACATGCAGTGTTTAACTTTCCATAATTATTAGCTATACTCTTTAATCTTGCTAATTCTGTTTAATCTATTCCTATTTATATTTTTAATATGCAGATTTTAGATTTTATAAATTCTAATGCATTATATTGTGAGATATTATAATTTCCTTATAACTAATTATATTAACTTGGCTTTAGATAGTAGACTTAAATAACTATCATAATGAAATGATCAAGTGGTTTTAAAGAATCACTTCGAAAGGAACCACAGGTTGAATGTAATTCTAAAAATACAATAAAACATTTAAATAAGAAAATAGCTGCTTTGAAACGTCTCTGCTACCAAAAGCTTATCATCAGCTCTATCGTGAAATTTAACCATTATAGGTTAAATTTATTGTAGGTTTAATATCATGTGAACCTAATATATAATAGGTTCACATGATAAATTAAGCAATTATTGCAAATTCATGAGGAAGGCTATTTAAAAATTGATTTCATTCAATATCTGTCTTCAACAGTGAAAGTCTTTTGTAAAGCATGTTTCTTTGAAAACATCTAGGATTAGAGAACTGGTGCTTTTGTAATACTGTGCCAGGTCATCCTGTTAGCACTAAGAATCATATCCAAGTCACGTCACCAAAGCATGTCACTGATCGCAAATCCATATGGTTCTGTAGCAACCTCAATCCTTGATTTCTTAGAAGAAAAAATTCAACTGAGGGGCATAAGGCATAAGGAGAGACTGAGGCAGGTTTTGAGCAGCAGTGATAGTTTATTAAAAAGTTTTAGAGCAGGAATGAATGAAAGTAAAGCCCACTTAGAAGAGGGCCAAGTAGGCAACTTGAGAGATCAACTGTACTGTTTGAATTTGGACTTGGGGTTTTATACATTGGCATACTTCTGGGGTCTTGCGTCTCTTTTCCCCTGATTCTTCCCTTGGGGTGCGCTGTCCGCATGTGCAGTGGCCTGCTAGGGTTTGGGAGGGGAACATGTGCAGTGTGCTTACTGGAGTTTTACCCATGCTCACTTGAGGCATTTTCCCCTTACTAGGCCAGTGTTCCTAGAGGAAGGTCATCCACCATTTTGCCTCTTAGTGTGCAAATAATTTGGTAGGTAGGGGGCCAGTAAGTCAGGAGTGCTAATTGGTTGGTTCAGAGCTGAAATCATAGGGAGTCAAAGCTGTCCTCTTCCACTGAGTCAGTTCCTGGGTTGGGGGGCCACAAGACCAGATGAGACCATTTATCAGTCTGAGTGGTGCCAGCTGATCCATCAAGCACAGGGTCTGCAAAATATTTCCATAGTGTGCAGGCTTGAGCCCACTTACTCAACTCTTGAGATTTTATCGAGAAGCTGCCAGTCACCAATTTCAGGATTTTTTATCTATTGGGAGACTGCCTTTCCCTGGTGCTGGCTGTGACAAATTATTATTTTAGAGAGACAGTTAACAATTGCCTGACCATCACTTGATGGTCACCCGACGTTCCTGGTGTGTGTGTTTGGGTGGGGGAAGTCCTCTCCTGCTCTGCTCATATCTGACTAGCTACCACCTATAATTCCTTTGTGGTGCTAATCATGAAATGAAGGGTAGGGGGCAGCAAAAGTCTTTCACGTGTCTGTGGTAGGTAAAATTTTGAACTAATTGAGAGATGAATGTTACAGATGCTCTATCTTTCATACATTAGTCTCTCTAGTACCTTATGTTTAAGACCTCTTAAAAGCAGCATAAAGATTTTATTGTGATTTGTTTTATTTTCTCCTTTCTATAACTCTTCTGATTTAATTCGAGTATTATTAGTTTGCTCACATTTACTGAAATTATTGATATATTTAGATTCATGAGGGTTATTATTCTTTGTTCCACCTGTTTTCGTTTCTCTTTTTTTCTCTTTTACCTTTTCATGCGCATCCGTGTGAAGAGACCCCCAAACAGGCTTCGTGTGAACAATAAAACTTTTAATCACCTGGGTGCAGGCGGGTTGAATCCGAAAAGAGAGTCAGCGAAGGGAGATAGGGGTGGGGCCATTTTATAAGATTTGAGTAGGTAAAGGAAAATTACAGTCAAAGGGGGGTTGTTCTCTGGCGGGCAGGGGTGGGGGTCACAAGGTGCTCAGTGGGGAGCTTTTGAGGCAGCATGCGCCAGGAGAAGGAATTTCACAAGATAATGTCATCAGTTAAGGCAGGAACAGCCCATTTTCATTTCTTTTGTGGTGGAATGTCATCAGTTAAGGCAGGCACCAGCCATCTGGATGTGTACGTGCAGGTCAGAGGGGATATGATGGCTTAGCTTGGGCTCAGAGGCCTGACATTCCTGTCTTCTTAGTGGTAAAGTGTTGGGACGGTGAAAATTTTGGGGGATGGTATTGAGAGATAATGGGCAATGTCTCTCAGGGCTGCTTTGAGCAGGATTAGGGGCAGCATGGGAACCTAGAGTTCCCAAGCTTAATCTCTGGAGAGATTAAGCTGAAGGAAGATTTTGTGGTAAGGGGTGATATTGTGGGACTGTTAGAAGAAACATTTGTCATTTAGAATTATTGGTGATGGCCTGGATATGGTTTTGTATGAATTGAAAAACTAAACGGAATACGAGAAGGAGAAAAACAGGTATTAAAGGTGTAAGAATTGGGAGGACCCAGGACATCTGATTAGAGAGTGCCTAAGGAGATTCAGCATAGTCCTGCCAGTAAAGATTATTTATTTACTTCAAGAGTTAAGAGTGGCAGTTTGGGGATAGCACCGGGAGATATCAGCTGTGATGGCTTGGAGAAACAGTGTAAACCGGCAGTGTAAACAAGAGCAGGGCATGTATGAGTAGTTGAGAACGGTGAATAGGAGTATGACTAGACAGAAGATAGTAGGGATGACAAGTTTTCTGGGGCACAGTCCAAGTTGGTCTGGTGTCTGGAATGAGACTGGGGCTTAATAAAAAGGAACATCTATACAGGAGCTCAAATGGGCTGTACCCTGTAGCATTCCAAGGACAGGCCTGAATTCTGAGAAGGGAAAGTGGTAAAAGTATTGTCCAGTCCTCTTTAAGTTGGTGGCTGAGCTTGGTGAGGTGTGTTTTTAAAAGACCTTTAGTCTGTTCTACTTTTCCTGAAGACTGAGGACCATAAGGGATATAAAGGTTTCACTGGATACTAAGAGCCTGAAAAAACGCTTGGCTGATTTGACTAATAAAGGCTGGTCTACTATCGGACTGTACAGAGTTGGGAAGGCCAAACCGAGGAATTATGTCTGACAGAAGGGAAGAAATGACAGTGGTGGCCTTCTCGGACCTTGTAGGAAAGGCCTCTACCTATCCAGTGAAAGTGTCTACCTAGACTAGGAGGTCTTTTAGTTTTCTGACTCGGGGCATGTGAGTAAAGTCAATTTGCAGTCTTGGGCAGGAGCAAATCCTCTAGCTTGATGTGTAGGAAAGGGAGGAGGCCTGAACAATCCCTGAGGGGTAGTAGAATAGCAAATGGAACACTGAGTAGTGATTTCCTTGAGGATAGATTTCCAGGATGGAAAGGAAATGAGAGGTTCTAAGAGATGGGCTAGCGGCTTGTAACCTACACGGAAGAGGTTATGAAATGACGACAGAATAGAATGGGCCTGTGAGGCTGGAAGGAGATATTTTCCTTGGTCTCAGAACCATTTGCCTTGTGTGGGAAGAGATTGATAGGTGGAAGTTTCAGCGGGGGTGTAGGTGGGAGTGACTGATGTGAAGGAGAAAATCTGGCTGTGAGGGACAGAAAGTGGAAAGCTAGCTGCTTGTCAAGCCACCTTATCAGCATAAGCGTTGCCTAGAGCAATGGGATCTGATGCCATTTGATGGCCTTTGCAGTGAATGACTCCAGCTTCCTTTGGAAGTAAAGCAGCCTTGAGTAGAGTTTTTATTAAAGAGACATTAATGATGGAGGACCCTTGTGTAGTGAGGAAACCTCTTTCAGCCTATATAGCAGCATGGTGGTGCAGAATATGAAAGGCATATTTAGATTCAGTGTAAATATTGACGCGTAGTCCTTTTGCAAGAGTGAGGGCTTGAGTTAAGGCAACTAATTCGGCTTACTGAGAGGTAGTGGAGGGGAACAGAGCGGTAGCCTCAATAACAGATGTGGAAGATATTATTGCATAGCCTGCCTTTGCTGGTGAGTGGCGATTAGGCCTGGTGGAACTGCCATCAATAAACCAAGTGTGATCAGGTTTAGAAACAGGGAAGAAGAAAATGTGGGGAGTTGGGGTGAACGTCAGGTGGATCAGAGAGATGCAGTCATGAGGGTCAGGTGTGGTATCCGGAATAACGTGGGAGGCTAGATTGAAGTTCATGCCAGGAACAATGGTAATTGTGGGAGACTCAACAAAGAGTGAGTATAGCTGAAGGAGCTGGGGAGCAGAAAGTATATGCGTCAGGTGTGAGGAAGAAAATAGATTTTGGAAGTTATGAGAAATGTAGAGTGAGTTGAGCATAGTTTGTGATTTTGAGGGCCTCTAAAAGTATTAAAGCAGCGGCAGCCGCTGCACGCAGACATGAGGGCTAGGCTAAAACAGTAAGGTCAAGTTGTTTGCACAGAAAGGCTACAGGGTGCGGTCGCAGCTCTTGCGTAAGAATTCTGCCCGCACTAACCATGCCTAGGAAGGAAACGAGTTGTTGTTTTGTAGAAGGGATTGGGGTTTGGGAGATTAGCCGGACACGATCAGCAGGGAGAGCACATGTGTTTTTATGAGAATTATGCCGAGATAGGTAACAGATGAGGAAGAAATTTGGGCATGACTGAAGTAATGGGGGCTGTCTGTGAAGACTTGCGGCAGTACAGCCCAGGTAATTTGCTGAGCCTGATGGGTGTCACGGTCAGTCTAAGTGAAAGCAAAGAGAGGCTGGGATGAAGGGTGCAAAGGAATAGTAAAGAAAGCATGTTTGAGATCTAGAACAGAATAATGGATTGTGGAGGGAGGTATTGAGGATAGGAGAGTATATGGGTTTGGCACCAAGGGGTGGATAGGCAAAACAATTTGGTTGATAAGGCGCAGATCTTGAACTAACCTGTAAGCCTTGTCTGGCTTTAGAACAGGTGAAACGGGGGAATTGTAAGGGGAGTTTATAGATTTTAGAAGCCCATGCTGTAGTAGGTGAGTGATAACAGGATTTAATCCTTTTAAAGCGTGCTGTAGGATGGGATATTGGCGTTGAGTGGGGTAAGGGTGATTAGGTTTTAATGGGATGGTAATGGGCATGTGATCGGTTGCCAGGGAAGGAGTCGAGATATCCCATACTTGTGGGTTAAGGTAGGGCGATACGAGAGGAAGACACAAATAAGGCTTTGGGTTGGGGAGAAGGGCGGCAATGAGATGCAGCTGTAGGCTGTAGTCCAGGAATAGTCAGGGAAGCAGATAATTTAGTTAAAATGTCTTGGTCTAATAAGGGAACTGGGCAGGTGGGGATAATTAAAAAAGAGTGCATAAAGGAATGTTTTCTAAGTTGGCACCAGAGTTGGGGAGTTTTAAGAGGTTTAGAAGCCTGGCTGTCAATACCCACAACAGTTATGGATGCAAGGGAAACAGGCCCTTGAAAAGAAGGTAATGTGGAGTGGGTAGCCTCTGTATTGACTAAGAAGGGGACGGACTTACTCTCCACTGTGAGAGTTATCCAGAGCGTCTGTGATGGTCCTGTAGGCTTCCAAGGCAATCAGGCACTGTCAGTCTTCAGCTGCTAAGCCAAGAAGATCTGGGAAGGAGTCAGTCAGAGAGCCTTGGGCCAGAGTTCCAGGGGCTCTGGGAGTGGCTGCGAGGTGAGTTGAACAGTCTGATTTTTAGTGGGGTCCTGCACAGAGGGAACATGGCTTAGGAGGAATCCCGGGCTCTGGGCATTCCTCGGCCCAGTGGCCAGATTTCCAGCACTTGTAGCAAGCTTCTGGGGGAGGAGGTTCTGGAGGAACCCCTGGCAGCTGCGGTTTGGGCATTTGGAGTTCTTGTGTGCTGGAGATGTGGATGGGGTTTGTCTCACAGTGGAGGCAAGGAATTGCAACTTAGAAATACATTGCTACTTGGCTGCCTCTACTCTATTATTGTACACATTGAAGGTGAGGTTAATTAAGTCCTGTTGTGGGGTTTGAGGGCTGGAATTTAATTTTTGGAGTTTTATTTAATGTCAGGAGCAGATTGGGTAATAAAACGTATATTGAGAATGAGATGGCCTTTTGACCTTTTAGAGTCTAGGGCTGTAAAGTGGTCTCAGGGTTGCTGCCAAAGGAGCCATGAACTGGGCTGGGTTTTTCATATTTGATGAAAGATCCTAAATGCTAACTGATTTGGGAGAGGTCGGATAAAGAAAAAGGAGCATTAACCTTGACTATGCCTTTAGCTGCAGCCACCTTTTTAAGAGGAAATTGCTGGGCAGGTGGGGGAGGGCTAGTCGTGGAATGAAACTGTAAGCCGGACCAGGTGTGAGGAGGGGAGGTGATAAAAGGATTATAGGGTTGGGGAGTAGAGGATGAGGAAGAATTGGGACCTGGCTTGGCCTGGTGAGGGGCAGCCTGGGGAGGAGGGGAGAGGTCAGACGGGTCTGTAGAAAAGGAAGATTAGAAAGACTCAAGGACACCTGGGGTTGGGACTGAGAGAACAGGCGGGAGAGAAAGAAGGAGGATTTGGGATGAGTCGCATTGGGAACAGAGAGTAGGGAGGGAACAATGTGTAATAGAATGCCTGGACATCAGGCACCTCAGACCGTTTGCCCATTTTATGACAAGAATTTTTTAGGTCTTGTAGGATGGAGAAATCGAAAGTGCCATTTTCTGGCCATGGAGAGCCATTGTCAAGTTTGTATTGGGGCCAAGCAGTGTTGCAGAAGAAGATAAGGCATTTAGGTTTTAGGTCAGGTGTGAATTGAAGAGGTTTTAAGTTCTTGGGAACACAGGCTAAGGGAGAAGAAGGAGGAATAGAGGGTGGAAAGTTGCCTATAGTGAAGGAGGCAAGCCCAGAGAAAAGAGAGAGACATGGAGGGAAGGGGTTCGGGGGTTCTTACCCTCCAGAAAAGCGGGAAAGGGGTCAGGATGTGGAAATAAGGGGTTGGGGCACAGAGATAAGAGTTTGGGGTGCAGAGATAAGAGGTTGGGGCACAGAAATAAGGGGTCAGGGTGTGGAAATAAGGGATCGGGGCACAAAGATAAGAGGTCAGGGTGCAGAAATAAGGGATTGGGGTATAGAGATAAGAGGTCGGGGCATGGAAATAAGGGAACGGGGTTCTTGCCCCCTAGAAAAGTGTTACTTGCTGCTAAGGGTGAAGGAGAAGGGGTTGGGGGGTTCTTGCCACCCAAAAAAGCAGAAAAGGGGTAGAGACCCAGACAGAAGGGGTCGGGGTTCTTGCCCCTCCCCCAGAAAAGCGGGACTTGCCGCTAAGGGTGAAGGACCAAGGCAGGCGTCCCCGCGTGGTCAGACACCTCTGAAACGTGGGTGAATAATCAGAGAGGCGTCCTTGCAATGATTAAACACCAAGGGAAGGCTGCCTTCCCAAGTCCGTGACCGGTGCTGGAGTTTTGGGTCCATGGATAAAATGCGTCTCCTTTGTCTCTACCAGAAAATGAAAGGAATTGAAATTAAGAGAAGGGAGAGATTGAAGGGTGGCGCCAGGATTGAAAGGAGAAAGTGGTTGAGGGATAGTGAGAAAGGTTGGAGAAGAGAGTAAGAAGAGGCCGCTTACCTGATTTAAAATTGGTGAGATGTTCTTTGGGCTGGTGGGTCTGAGGACCCGAGGTCATAGGTGGATCTTTTTCACAGAGCAAAGAGCAAGAGGACAGGGGATTGATCTCCCAAGGGAGGTCCCCAAATCCGAGTCACGGCACCAAATTTCATGCACATCCATGTGAAGAGACCACCAAACAGGCTTTGTGTGAGCAATAAAGCTTTTAATCACCTGGGTGCAGGTGGGCTGAGTCCAAAAAGAGAGTCAGTGAAGGGAGATAGGGTTGGGGCCATTTTATAAGATTTGGGTAGGTAAAGGAAAATTACAGTCAAAGGGGGGTTGTTCTCTGGCGGGCAGGAGTGGGGGTCACAAGGTGCTCAGAAGGGGAGCTTTTGAGCCAGGATGAGCCAGGAGAAGGAATTTCACAAGATAGTGTCATCAGTTAAGGCAGGAACAGGCCATTTTCATTTCTTTTGTGGTAGAATGTCATCAGTTAAGGCAGGAACCAGCCATCTGGATGTATACGTGCATGTCACAGGGGATATGATGGCTTAGCTTGGGCTCAGAGGCCTGACATACTTCTTGTAGATTAGTCCAGCATGTTTTTATTCATGAATCTTTCCATTTATTTTCTTGTTTCATATTTATTTTATTTTATTCATTTGTTCTAGAATTACAATGCTCATATATGACTTATGGAAATCTTCCTTAGAATTATGTTTATTTATTTTTCTATATGTACTTTCCTTTCAATACATGCAAATCAATGATTATATTTTATTCTTTGTTCTACTGTTATGTAAATTCTGAATGTTAAATAGGTTAATAATTTTTTATTTAAGCTGACCATATTCATTTAGAATTACCCACAATTACAAATTACATTTTTTTTTCTTCTTTCACAAATTATTGCATTTCCAGATGGGATCATTTCCTTTTGCCTGATGAAATATTTCACTTTCATTTTTAATGCATGTTTCCTGGAAATAATTTCTATCATATTTAGTTTATGTAAAATGTCATTATTTCACTTATACTTTAAAGTGCATTTTCCCTGGCTATAGATTTCTAGCTGTCAAGATTTTGTTTTTCTGGCTTCTTTTTGTCAGCATTTTAAAAACATCATTTCATTTTTCTCCTGGCTTCCATTATTTTTGTTGTAAAGTTACTCATTGGTATCATTTTTCTTCCTTTTCCTATTTCTCTGATTTTTATCAATGTTCTAATGTCATTTTTCCATACTTTTCCTATTTGAGTTTCAATAAGTTTTAAAAATTAGTGAATCATGGCTTTCATAATTTTCAAAAATTTGTTATTTCCTACAATGCTTTTGAGTCATTCTCTGTGTCCTTGCCTTCCAGAATTTCAATTATATGCACATTACACCTTTATTTAAAATATGTATTTAATATCATGTTTCTGAATTGTATTTCTTTTATGTTTATATACTTCAGTTTTAGTATATTATAATGACTCTCTTACTCTCACCAATCCTCTCTTCTGTTATGTCAAATCTCTTATTAAATCAATACATTACATTTTAAATCTTATATTTTCAGTTCTAGATTTTTCATTTGACTCTTTCATATAGATTTTCATTTTCATTGGGACTTCTTCATCATTTCCTATATTTCGTTGAACATGTTGGTATTTTAAAAACCCTTTGATATATCTAAAATTTGGATTACCTTGGTTGCTTTGTTTTTGCTTTGTTTGTTTTAATTATGTTTATTTCTTTGATAATCTATCACTTGGTCATTTCTCGTGATCTTCAATTGACTGCTATAGTTTATATGTGAAAAATTATTAATGCTCAGGTTATAGTAGTATGATAGACTATTAGAAATCCATCTTGATGTGTAACCACCCAATAGGTTCTCCTTGCCCACTGCCTACACAGAGCCAGTTTATCAAGACAGGGGAATTGCAATAGAGAAAGAGTAATTCATGCAGAGCCAGCCACATGGGAGACTGGAGTTTTATTATTACTCAAAGCAGCTTCCCTGAGAATTTGGGGATTGGCGTCTTTAAGGATAATTTGGTAGGTAGGGGGCCAGTGAGTAAGGAGTGCTAACCGGTTGGGTCAGAGATGAAATCACAGGGAGTCGAAGCTGTCCTCTTACATGGAGTCAGTTCCTGGGTGGGGGGGGCACAAGACCTGATGAGACCATTTATCAATCTGGGTGATGCCAGCTGATCCATCAAGTACAGGGTCTGCAAAATATTCCATCGCCAATTTTGAGTTTCTCAATGGTGATGTTATCCCCTGGAGCAATTTAGATATTGAGAATTTTGCAGCCTCCAGTCTGGACAGCTGGACAGTCAAGGAATCCAGCTACATGACTCCTAAACCATGATTTCTAATCTCATGGTTAATTTGTTGGTCCGGCAAAGGCAGTCTAGTCCCCAGGCAGAAAGGGTTTTATTTGGGGAAAGGGCTGTAATCATCTTTATTTTGAAGTTAAACTATAAATTAAGTTCCTCCCAAAGTTAGTTTGGCCTAAGCCGAGGAATGAACAAGGACAGCTTGAAGGTTACAAGCAAGATGGAGTTGGTTAGGTTAGATCTCTTTCACTGTCATGATTTTCTTAGTTATAATTTTTGCAAAGATGTTTTCACGTACAGGTGAACATGGTTTTTGTACTTTGTTCAGATTTACTTCTGTTGATTTTTTCCTACCTTTGGAAACCTCTATTCTTCCAGAGAATTTTTTCGGTTCTCCTGTGAAAGTAAGTTTCTGGTATTACTAGGATTCCTGCCATTTACTCATACTTGAATTCCAAATTCTGCCTTCTCAGAATGACAAAACTGCTGAAATCTTTGTCGGAGTTTAGCCTCCAAGAGGTGTTGGTTAGCTAGCTTTCATAGAGTCTTATCTTACACACCTTTAGCATAGGCACTAGAAAGGCTTGAAAGTAAAATTGCATTCAGAATTTTAGTCATACTTTTCTGGAGTTCTCTCTTCCCCTTTAAGTTTTAGTTTCCTTGGGAGTTCTGAACTCCAACCCATATATCAACTCCCTATGAGATGGCAGCAGGTTTCATCACTTTCTGTTTGTCTTTTATTCACTGAACTACACATTGGAAAAAGCCTATGTAAAAAGGATGGAATGGAATGTGGGTCACTGTGGTGCTCAACCATTCTCTCTCAGACTTCTAGACACCAAAGTCATAATGTCCTGCTTTTTCGCTGAACCCCTCAAAAAGTTGTTTCCCATATTATTGAGGTTTCACAGTAGTTTGGCATACAATTGTTTATCTAATGCTAGCTCTTTTGTCATAGTTGAAACTAAAATGTCCCAAACCCCAATTTTTATTACCTGAGACTCTTGAAATTACTGAGAGCTTTCCCCAGATTCTCAGAATCACAAAGCTACTTAGGCTGGGGGTAAATAACAATCATTTGGTCAGAGATTAAGTTAATTTGAGTATCAAGATTATCATTTATAAGACCGGATCCATTTACAGTTGCCTTTACTTTTACCCTTTAGCGTTGTAGATTGCAACTGAAAGCCTAAGTAGCCCACAGACTTACAATTTTTTTTTTTTTTGACACAGAGTCTCATGTTTTTGCTGAGGCTGGAGTGCAGTGATGCTATCTCGGCTCACTGCAAGCTCTGGCTCCGAGGTTCACGCCATTCTCCTGCCTCAGTCTCCCGAGTAGCTGGGACTACAGGCACCCGCCATCACGCCCGGCTAATTTTTTTTTTTTTTTTGTATTTTTACTAGAGACGGGGTTGCACCGTGTTGGCCAGGCTGGTCTCGAACTCCTGATCTCAGATGATCCACTTAACTCAGCCTCCCAAAGTGCTGGGATTAGAGGTGTGAGCCACCACTCCCTGCCCACAGACTCTTGATATTGTTACAAGAATTATGATTTCTGTCTTCCCTGCAAAGCACTGTTATGTTTCTCAGATTCTTTTTTTTTTTTTTGGCCTTTATTTTTTTTTTTTTAATTTTTTTATTATGCTTTAAGTTCTAGGGTACATGTGCACAACATGCAGGTTTGTTACATATATATACATGTTCCATGTTGGTGTGCTGCACCCATTAACTGATCATTTACATTAGGTATATCTCCTAATGCTATCCCTTTCCCCTCCCCCCACCCCACAACAGTCCCCGGTGTGTGATGTTGCCCTTCCTGTGTCCAAGTGTTCTCATTGTTCAATTCCCACCTATGAGTGAGAACATGCGGTGTTTGGTTTTTTGTCCGTGCAATAGTTTGCTGAGAATGAAGGTTTCCAGCTTCATCCATGTCCCTACAAAGGACATGAACTCATCATTTTTTATGGCTGCATAGTATTCCATGGTGTATATGTGCCACATTTTCTTAATCCAGTCTATCATTGATGGACATTTGGGCTGGTTCCAAGTCTTCGCTATTGTGAATAGTGCTGCAATAAACAGATGTGTGCATGTGTCTTTATAGCATCAAGATTTATAATCCTTTGGGTATATACCCAGTAATGGGATGGCTGGGTCAAATGGTATTTCTAGTTCTAGATCCTTGAGGAATCGCCACACTGTCTTCCACAATGGTTGAAACAGTTTACAGTCCCACCAACAGTGTAAAAGTGTTCCTATTTCTCCACATCCTCTCCAGCACCTGTTGTTTCCTGACTTTTTAATGATTGCCATTCTAACTGGTGTGAGATGGTATCTCATTGTGGTTTTGATTTGCGTTTCTCTGATAGCCAGTGATGATGAGCATTTTTTCATGTGTCTATTGGCTGCATAAATGTCTTCTTTTGAGAAGTGTCTGTTCATATCCTTTGCCCACTTTTTGATGGGGTTGTTTTTTTCTTGTAAATTTGTTTGAGTTCTTTGTAGATTCTGGATATTAGCCCTTTGTCAGATGAGTAGGTTGCAAAAATGTTCTCCCATTCTGTAGGTTGCCTGTTCACTCTAATGGTAGTTTCTTTTGCTGTGCAGAAGCTCTTTAGTTTAATTAGATCCCATTTGTCAATTTTGGCTTTTGTTGCCATTGCTTTTGGTGTTTTAGACATGAAGTCCTTGCCCATGCCTATGTCCTGAATGGTATTGCCTAGGTTTTCTTCTAGGGTTTTTTGGTTTTAGGTGTAACATTTAAGTCTTTAATCCATCTTGAATTAATTTTTGTAGAAGGTGTAAGGAAGGGATCCAGTTTCAGCTTTCTACATATGGCTAGCTAGTTTTCCCAGCACCATTTATTAAATAGGGAGTCCTTTCCTCATTGCTTGTTTTTATCGGTTTGTCAAAGATCAGATAGTTGTAGATGCGTGGTATTATTTCTCAGGGCTCTGTTCAGTTCCATTGGTCTATATCTCTGTTTTGGTAGCAGTACCATGCTGTTTTGGTTACTGTAGCCTTGTAGTATGGTTTGAAGTCAGGTAGCGTGATGCCTCTAGCATTATTCTTTTGGCTTAGGATTGACTTGGTGACATGGGCTCTTTTTTGGTTCCATATGAACTTTAAAGTAGTGTTTTCCAATTCTGTGAAGAAAGTCATTGGTAGCTTGATGGGGATGGCATTGAATCTATAAATTACCTTGGGCAGTATGGCCATTTTCACGATATTGATTATCCCTATCCATGAGCATGGAATGTTCTTCCATTTGTTTGTGTCCTCTTTTATTTTGTTGAGCAGTGGTTTGTAGTTCTCCTTGAAGAGGTTCTTCACATCCATTGTAAGTTGGATTCCCAGGTATTTTATTCTCTTTGAAGCAATTGTGAATGGGAGTTCACTCATGATTTGGCTCTCTGTTTGTCTGTTATTGGTGTATAAGAATGCTTGTGATTTTTGCACATTGATTTTGTATCCTGATACATTCCTGAAGTTGCTTATCAGCTTAAGGAGATTTTGGGCTGAGACGATGGGGTTTTCTAAATATACAATCATGTCATCTGCAAACAGGGACAATTTGACTTCTTCTTTTCCTAATTGAATACCCTTTATTTCTGTCTCTTGCCTGATTGCCTGGCCAGAACTTCCAACACTATGTTGAATAGGAGTGGTGAGAGAGGGCGTCCCTGTCTCAGATTCTTGACCACCACTTGTGATTTGCTTCAAGGTGAAAAGTGGCTCTGAATTTAGTGCTTGCCTATTTGTGTTCTATATAATGATTATCACCTAAAGTTATTGCTTTGTTGGGTTGACAAGGTTGTGTTTTATTTACTAGATAATTATTTTTTAACATAACAAAACAATTGGAGTTGGATTGCTAATATTTTTGTATCCCTACAATCTCCACTTTTATTATTGGTTATCAGTTTTACAAAATAAAAAGAAAAAGTCATTAAAGCAAATGTTTCCATTCACAATTTTATTAAACAATATTTTTCTGTTCATACATCACATTATATTTGTAGCAGATTAAATTCTGAAAAAGGCACAGAAGAGATAATATGTCTTAAATTAGTTAAAAGCTTTTAAGTTAAAAATATATACATATAATATACAGTATGAGATGTGTGAATTGGAATTATAAAACAAAAACATGTAATTATTTCAGAGAGATTAATTATGAGGCACCTGAAATATTACTTATTTACTAATACTTTAAAATTCATGTCATTTCATTGTATGCTTAAAAATAATGAAATTGTGGGAGCTTCAAATTTATACAAACTTCATGAATAACAAACATTACTGCTACATCAATATTATTTTTCGTTGTCATTATTTAATTTATCATCCAAAACAGAAAATTTGTGAATATGAAAAGGGGTGCTATTAATAATTTCTGGGGCCACAGACTCAAACCAGGACTATATTGGGAAAATTGAAAAAAATTGCACCCCCTCATCTTATACTATGTTCTACTGCCGAGTGAAGGTTTCAAAGGAAACTATCACTATTAGCCTCAATAAAGAGTAAGATTTGAATGTTACAAGAAGAAATTTTAAATGGAAGACTATGAAGATTAAAAGATCTGAAACTGAGAAGAACATTAGCATATTCAGAGAATAGAAGCCATTAGCAAGCCTAAAATTATTCATAGTAATAGAGTCAGTGTTGGAGAATAGAAGCTCAATACAGGAAGCTGAAACCTAGCTCCCTTTGATAGTTTTTCTGTGTCTTATTACCCCTTTAGGTACCGTCACAGGTTTCTAATATTCATTTCCCACTCTGTGTATCAGTCCCTCAAGTAAAATGCCAGCAGCCTTTTGTCATAGGACGAATACATATTCTATTTAGATATGAAATGTGTAGAATTGGTATCAATTTAATATCTATATTATCTATCAAGTTGATATAATGGTCAAGAGTTGATGAGGGGCTAAACAGTCCCAAGTGTGTCCTTGGGACAAGATTTTGAGAAATATTGGTGAACATTTCTGAGAGTGTTCATCCCTAAGTCTTAGGCAAAGGTACACTTTGCGTAACTGTCCCTCTAAATAGCTTTTCTCACAGCTTACAATGACAAGTGATTTGTTAAATCAGTAGGAGGAAAGACAACACAGAAGTAACTGAAAAATGTTGCTTAACAAAAGATAGTGTAAACCAAAATCCTCTTTTTAAAAAAAAAAAAAATGTCCTGTTTTGAATTGGAGTTGGGGCACTGTAATCACAACTACTGGATTCCTGAGATGAATGAAGTCTCCTAAGGATCCCCCAGTTACAGGAAAAGTGTAGGCTCATCTATATGGGTAGCAGCAACTGTGCCACCCAGAGCCAAAGGAGCATGTTTAATGATCTTTGAGATATTATTTGAAAATTTACCTTTGGGGAAAAATTACAGGGAATCTTGTTCCACATTTGAATTTAAAAAAATAAAGTATCAGTGGAATCCTAAGAATTTCTGAGAGCTGTCAGACTACAAAATTATATTTTAGAATATTAATTTTGCTGCAGCACAGTAGATAGATGGAACAGGGAGGGAAGCAGGGAGTCAAAAGAAAAGTGAAAAATTAAGGGCGATTAATAGATTGAGTCATTTTAAACTGTCTTTTCTGAGGATGAACAATTGTCAAATATTGGCAATTTAATATGGTTAAATGTAGTATTTTACAGATAATTGAATTGTGTAATAAAGTGATGTTAGTGAGAGTAAATAACATAAGAGACATAGGTGTAAGAATATTTCCAATTTTTAGAATGTTATTTCAGTGAAGGGACAACATGAACACATTGCTGGCTTTGAAGAATCCTAGGTTTCAACCATACATCCATGGCAATAGTTGATCCTTACTGTTCAAGACAAGCTAAACATTGGTTTAAGTGTCTTACCTGCATAAGCTCCTGGAATTTTTATAATAACCTTTAAGGTAGGAATTATTATACTCACTCAATAGATTAGGAAACAAAGGTAGAAAGAGTTATTTCCAGTTTGCTCAAGATAAACACAGTTAATAAGGCATTCCCTAGTATTTGAATCCTAGGTTAATGTGTAGTTCTTACTTTCAGTGGCTCAACTATAGTTTGGATTAAGTTAATCTCCATATTTACTCCACATACAGCACTAATTCTTATGTGTTTTTCTTAAGGACCTAGTTTAAGTAAAATTGAGAAGTATGCATAATTTGTTTTCTATAGCTAGAAATGATCAAATTTGAACAAGAATATCAAGATTCTAATGTCTTTAATATGTCTTTGGTACATCCACTAACTTCTCCATAGTTATTCTCCAAAATTATTATACTATATTAAAGCTTGCTGTTTCATATTCTTTCTCATTTCAAGCTCAACCACTATGATCAAACATAAATTATTCAAAGGTACGTTTTAAATGATCATAATAGCTTTTATGTTTCTTTATAGAGAACATTTGCTTTTTAACTTGGCTTTGTTGGACTTAACCCAAAGAAGTAACCTATATATTAAGTTCAGAAAATATAAAAGAGGGTCACTTAAAGGCAGGCTATATTACCAAAATTATGGAATCTTGTAATAGAGATGACTGGCATTTCCTTATAAAATTCTGCCCTTTTAGCACTGAATTTTCTAATTTATAAAATCAATCGCGATTTTTAAAATCGTGAGTATTTTAGAAGTAGCGTCCATGTGAATGCAGTTGAATAGATCACATGCCTGAGGAATCTCTGCCTTTCTTCACTGTATCTTCTCTCATAAGCACAAAAAAGAGGGGGGCTAACATATGAATAGGTATATTTTAATAAATCACTTATAATTTATTTTGCAACAGAAAATTTTATTTATAAAAATATCAGGTTTTAACTGTAATTACTAATGTAAACAGTAACATAATTAATAAATTTCAACTCATAAAAAAGAGATCTTCATTGTATGTCAGTTCTTACTGTCCTGTAGATAACTCCATAAGTTATCCTTGGTATTATTTTCTTTCAATTTTAATTTTTATGGAGAAATCACTATTTGTTTTAATTCAAATTTATGCAACTAATCATTTGTTTAAATACTAACAACTACACTAGATCAGGCATATTCCAATTAGAGTTACAAGAAATCTGATTACAGAAGGATCCTTAAAGTTATCTTCAATAATGCTAACTGAGGATTTCAACAATTTAGCCCAAGCAATGTCATCTTTGTGTTGTTAGTAATAAACAGCATAATTTTAGGTGTAGATGTTATGACATGTATAAGAACAATCAAGTTACCAACTTTAAGGAGAATTGAAGATAAAAATGTAATTTATTTTTGAGTCTCTTTGCTAAATGATACTTCATAAAACTAGGCAAACTGTCTGAATAAATGCTGTTTCACACAGTTAATTTAGCAGCAGCTGCTAATGTGAATGCGTGATTGTAAAAAATATTCAAAGCTATAGTTCTAAGGCTGTTCCACACTTGCTTAATTTTTGCTTTACCAAACAATTACTCATTATATTATTAATACATTAATAGTAGTAGTAATAGTAATAATAATAATAGAACAGACATATTTGTATTGAATGTTATGGCTTATGAAGCATTTTAACTTAGAAATCATATAGCATTTTTTGTAAATAAGAGACAATGATTGACAGTACATACAGAAGGCTCTTACTGGTTCCACTATGGTGCTAGTGACTAGAGAGAAGAAAAACACTTTTTTTTTTTTTTTTTTTTTTTTTTTAGAGAATGTTAACAGAGAAGATGGTGAGACACAGCTGTTTTAGTTGCTAACCATCCTCAGATTTCTACTCTGTATTAGCCTTTCGGTCACTAATTTTCTGCTATTGATAGCCATAAAATTGAAGTCATTATTCATATCTTCCTGGAGAAACGGCAATAGCCGCTGCTTTTTATAGGAAGGCCCAATGTGCCAGCCTGGAAAAGGCAATTCTTCTTTAGACTTTGAGGTAGGGAGTGGATTAGAAAAGAGCTGAGTCAATTAAATTCAACAAGCATTTAATGAACTCTGACTTAATGTGAGACTCCTCATGTCAGGAACCATGCCCCCCAAAAAAAACGAAAAAGACAGGTTCTTTGGTCCTCAAGCAGAGACGTTTTAGAAGAAGTTAAGAAGTGTTAGTTCTAATCTTTGCTCTGCTACCTAATTATTGCAAAATAGTTGGAAAGATAAGTATTTGTCTTATTTGTTAAAGGTAGGGGATTGATAATGATTTATTTTGGGTTTTCTGAGAATTAAATAAAGTGAAATATAGCAGTGTCATCCTATTTTAAAAACATCAAAAAACAAATGCAGAAATATTTTTAAAAATATGAACAGAAGGAGAGAAAACAACAGGGAGAGAGGATGAAGAGTTAAGAAGATCTTAATGCTGGAGATGCAGCTTGTGATTCATGGGTAGAATGTGATGGTAGTAGTGGAGAAAATGTATTCCAAATATAAAAATGTTTAGAGATACAGGAATACAGAGCACATCTGAGCAATAAGAAATTAGTCTGGAATGACCCAAGATAGTTTATACTCACAAATCTATGAGTTTATATTAATAAAACTCCTGCATATTCATCCATAACTTTAGAAATTGTTAACTATCTGCGTTATGCTAAATGGCTTTCTTTCTGTCATTAAATTATTTCACTTCCTATCCCCATTGTCTGGTATGCTTTAACTACATTAAACATCTACTTATTATTTATCATATCACTTATAAGATTTTTCATTACCATCTCAGGCATAATGAGGTAGATTCATTCCATCCTGTTCTACTATAATACTGTGTACCCACACGTATTACGGAAGGCATTATAAGGACTTTAGGAAATAATGGCAAACGAGGCTGATGTAGAAGTGTCCCTTTTCTACTACAAATACACACAGTTATAGAAAATATCCTGAAACTTCAACATATATGTCAAGCACAAAACAAAGAAATGGAAACCTCTGTGGCAAAAAATATAAAAGAACGCTGTGCCACATTAGTAAAAAAAAAAAAAAAAAAAAAAAAAAAAAAAAAAAATCTAAGTCTTTCTGGACCACAGGAGTATTAGATACAGATATAACTGATTGGAGGTAAACATTAGGATTTTAAAGCCTCCTTGACCTAAGATTTTTAGAACTTATGTAATGGGTGTTAGAGAGCTACAACTAACATACACTGTGTGCAACACTGGAGCACTGACGTATTTTCCAGAGTAAATAAGGGGGTTGGGAGATAAAAGGACAATGGCCAGGACTGCAGCCCAAGGCTTGCTATTTTCCAACTGTCAAGGTAGACAGAAAAAACTACAGAAAATTGAAATCTCAAACCGGTGCGAAGTATAAGGTTGATTTCTGAAATAATATTTTATCTTTGCTACGAGAAAATACAACTTAACATTTAAAATAAAATATAGCCCAATTAGTGTGTAGCCCTTAATCCCTAACAAAAACATCTTCAAAATTCTTGCATACAGGTGTTTTTGTACCCAAAAGCATATAGGATAAAGTTGAACAAAAAATTAACAATTGGAAAGCACAATTGCAAGTTAGAGAAGAATTATCAGCATAAGTAAATGCAATAATTCGCACTCAAATATACTGAAAGCAAATAGAGCAACATGATACTCGAAAGCATATATTCACATTTAATTGACTAAATGATTACAAAGAAGGTTTATGAAATATAAGAAAAACATATTCAGCAAATATTACTAAATCAAAGGAATTTTAGCAATGTCATTGGGAAGCTGGTGATCCGATGAATGCATTCATGTTCCTCTCAATTCTTCACTTCTGAAGGCAAGAAGCTGCTACCGTAAACAAGAAGCTAGGTATTCATTTACTGCAAGAGTAATGCCCAGAAGAATGGTCAATTATAAAGGGTTCTTGGGCAGCCGCGGTGGCTCACACCTGTAATTCCAGCATTTTGGGAGGCCAAGGTGGGCAGATCACCTGTGGTCAGGAGTTGGAGACCAACCTGGCCAACATGGCAAAACCCCATCTCTACTAGAAATACAAAAATTAGGCGGGCGCTTGTAATTCCAACTACGCAGGAGGCTGAGGCAGGAGAATTGCTTGAACCTGGGAGGCGGAGTTTGCAGTGAGCCAAGATCACCCCACTGCACTCCAGCCTGGGCCACAGAGCGAGACTTCATCTCAAAAAAATAAAAATAATAATTAAAAAAAAGGTTTCCATGAAAGTTCATTTCTCTTCCACTCTTTTTATTATCTTCTATTAGAAACCAATGTAAAAAAGGTTTTTTTCTATTTCTTATTTCTAAACCTTTCTTTCATGTTGCATTTTTTCATGATTTCTTCATGTGAATCTCTCAGTTTACTCACAGAAACGCATTATGTGTGTGTGTGTGTGTGTGTGTGTGTGTGTGTGTATTCCTTTGCCCATTTTGAAATTGTTGGGGTTGTTCTTGAGTTTTAGGATTTCTTTATATATTCTGAATGTTAATCCCTTACTAGATACATGATTTGGAAATATTTTCTCCCAAACCATAGGTTGTGTTTACTTTATGCTGTTAGCATCCTTTGATATACAAGAGTTTTAAATTTTGATATAGTCTAATTTATTATTGTTTTATTATGTTGCCTGTGTTCATGGTGTCATATCTAAAAAATAATTGGCAAATTCAGTGTCACAAAACTTTTCCCATATTTTCTTCTGAGAATGTTATAGTTTTAGTTTGTATGTTTAGGGCTTTGATGCATATGAGTTAGTTTTTATATATGGAGTAACCTGAGTCCAACTTTACTCTTTTGCATATGACTATCCAGTTTTCCCAATACCATTTGTTGAAAATACTGTTTTTTGCACACTGAGTCATCTTGGTACCCTGTTAAAAATCATTTGAACACATATGTGAGGGCTTATTTCTGGGCTATCTTGTTCCATTGGTCTATATGCCTGTCTTTTTATGCTAATATGACACTGTTTTGATATCTGTAGCTTTAAAGTAAGTCTCAAAATCAGAAAACATGATTGTTCTGATTGTCCTTTTTCAAGATTATTTTGTCTATTTGGGGTTGCTTGAGGTTCCACATCAATTTTAGAGTAATTTTTTTTTAAATTTCTGCAAAGAAAGTGCAATTGAGACTGGGGCTGAAAGCAGAATTTAAATAGGGCCTATTATGTAGAAGAAAAAAAAGACAATGTGCAAATGCAGATTAGAGTCTGACAATTATTGCAGGCTCATCTAGCAATTTATAATTGGGATTACAATAGATAATGGACTGAATCTGTAGATTACTTTAGGTAGTATTGATATTTTAACAAATTTGTCTTTCAATCCATAAACATAAGTTGTTTTTTCATTTGTTGATGTCTTCTTTAATTCTTTCAGCAATGTTTTTTAAGTTTTCAGTGTACATTGCCTCCTTCAGTTTATTCCCAAGAAGTTTGTTCTTTTTGATGCCATCGTAAATGGAATTGTTGTTTCAATTACCTTTTTAGAATTATTCATTTTTAGCATATAGAAATGCAACAGATATGAGTGTTATTTTGTATCCCAAAATTTTGCTAATTTTTAAAATTAATTCTGACAAGCTTTTGTGTATTTGTGAGGGGGTATGAAATATTATATGTATTTTTACGATATATAATATAAAGTAATCTGTGAACAGAAGTAATTTTATTTTTTCCTTTCAAATTTGGAAGGCTTTTTAAAATTGCCTAGTTGTTCTGGATAGGAATTCCAATGCTATGTTGAGTAGAAGGATTTAAGATGGTCAAAATTGTTTCATTTTCAATCTTAGAGAAAAAGCTTCCAGTCTTACATTATTGAGTATGATGTTGGCTGTGAATTGTCACATACAGCCTTCATCATGTCGACATAGTTTCCTTCTATTCCCAGTTTTTTGAGCGAATTTATGATTCGATTTTGTTGACTTTTATCAAATGTTTTTCTGGATCATTTGAGATGTTCATATGTTGTTATCGTTGCTTCTTCCCTTTACTAAGTTAATGTGGTGTATTCCATGGAATGAGTTTTGTTTCTTGCACAATGATGGCATTTTAGGAATAAATCTGACTTAGCCAACTAATATTGTCTTATAGTCTACAAAATTTTCTGTGTATTTCACACATTGAGTTCCTGCACTCAATTACTAAATGTTTCACTTCACAATATTATATTTTTCTCTTTTTCAAATCTGCTGAGCAAATTTTAATAATTGGTCATTCTTAGTGATAATATTGATATTCTTTTTTACTTCTATCCCTTTCTTTTTATATGAAATTCTCCAATATTTGTTATATATTCACTCTCTGTGCATCCAGTTTTGTAATTTTCTTTGTACTGACTTAGGTGACATTATTTAAACTTTATGGTAATGTGTAAGAATTGTGTTAAAATAAAATTCCTACATGTGTTTGGACCTTTCCATACTACCACCTCAAAACTAATTTAAAATATATCTGTTGGGCCGGGCGCAGTGGCTCACACCTGTAATCCCAGCACTTTGGGAGGCCAAGTTGGGTGGGTCACCTAAGGTCAGGAGTTTGAGACAAGCCTTGCCAATATGGTGAAACCCCATCTCTACTAAAAATACAAAAATTAGCTGGGGGTGGTGGCACATGCCTGCAATTTCAGCTACTAGACAGGTTGAAACAGTATAATCACTTGAACCCAGCAGGCAGAGGTTGCAGTGAGCAGAGATTGTGCCTCTGCACTCCAGCCTGGGCAAGAGAGTGAGACTCCAGCTCAAAAAACTAAATAAATAAATAAAATAAAATAAAATGTATTATATATCATATATAAAATATATATTAAATATATTTTATATATGATATATAATATATATTTTTTATATATATGGCTTTATTGTAGGGGAAGGGGTAATGGTTTGTACGAGCTATCTGAACTCTTTTCCAGTGTCATTCTGCTTTTGTCCCTTTATCTCATCCTTTTTTTTCTTTCTTTTCTTTCCTTCTTTTCCTTCCTCCCTTCTTCCTTCTGTTTTCCTTATCTCTTCCTTCTTTCTATTTCAATCTATGAACAGTCTAGGTTGCAAAAAATAACTGTAACTTTTTCCCTCTGAGAGTCCTGTATTTTCTTTGTATTCACTTAAACTGTTAGGTGAGCCTGAATTAATTGTTGAACTCTAATCTGCAATTACATACTGTCCTTTTTTCTTATACATAATAGGCCCCATTTAAATTCTACTCTCAGCCCAGAAGTGATGAGCTGTCCCCAGAACAAACACCAACTTCAGAAATTACCAATCTCTTTGTCCCCTCTTTCTCATAAATTTAGGCATCCAGTGCATTGTTTAAGTATCTCCAGTGAAACTATATATTACAAACATATTTTAAATATTTGTTGTTACAAGAATTTTGCTAGATATCTTGTGTATCACATTTCTAGAAAAATACACTATTTTTCACACTATAAAATAAATGTGTCTCTAAAAAAAAGATGACAGTTGATAAGACAATGGAAAAGTAGATTTGAACATTCTTATTAATAATGAGAAAAAGAGAATAGCAACTTTACCCATCCAAAAATTACAAGGACATAGTATTTAAAAAGAGAACAGAAAGACTATTCATACATTTATATCAATTGGATAGCATTTAGCTATAAAGTCATAAAATATTAGACTTCTATCAAAAAGCATACAAATTTTTATTTCTCACATGAAAGTATTTCGGAGGTAGGCAGTTTGTTGTGTTGTGATGGCTACATGGTGTTAAGACTGCGACCCAGGAATGAGCCAATCCTTCAAGAAGCATCCTAAGCGGCTAACTGAGTCTAAATTTAAATTTGAATCAAATGGCCATTTGCTGACTAGAGGTGACACTCATACTTTGAGTTCCTAGAAAATCCACAGGCCTGCTAAAGTTTGAGGCTTTCGTAGCTGCCTTCTCTTGTTCTCACCACCTAAACCAATCAATAGACTGTGATCTGTGTCGGTCAATCAGAACTCAGCAAGCATCAATCATTCAGAACTAAGCAAGTTTGCATGTTTCATTTGCATAAGCAGACCTGAGTGGACACCTGGGCAGAATCATTTCTGAAAAAGAGAAATCCTCCCTTTGTTTTCTGGACTGTACCTTTATTTTACAGGCTGTGTATCTCTGGTTTGCAAGCTCTTAACTGAAATAAAGTCTATTTCCTCTAAATTACTTTCCAGAGAACTTTTATTTACAGGACCCAGGCTCTCTCTTTCTTTCTACACTAATATTTCCAATAATGTCATAAGCCAAGATGGCTGCTGGATCTCCATTTTCTACCTGTACATGTAAGAAAACAGGAAAAATAGCTGATAAGGGCACTTCCCTCAAATTTTAGGGATTTTTTTTTTCTAGAATTACATAAGGACACATCATTTTACATGTCATTGCCAGAGATTTAGCTAGATAGGGAAATCTGCTGGCAAAGAAATCTTAGAAATTTTCAGCAACATAAAGGGTTATGGTACTAAAAAGACAGGAGAGACACAGATAATCAGAGAAAACTATGAAACTCAGCCACAATTGCAGTACAATATAGATTAATAAACTCATAAATCGATATGCTTTAAACAGCATAACACCCAACTGACTCCCTGCTCTCCTTTTCTCTCTCTGTGTGTGTGTGTGTGTGTGTGTGTGTGTGTATATATGTGTGTGTATATATATATATGTATATATGTCTGTGTGTGTGTGTATATATATATATGTAAAATTTTCACAATGTAACTGAACATATAAAAATGAAAGGATATTTTGATAAAATTATATTTGGTTATAATAATGACTTCAATAAATCTATTATTTGTTTTCTATTCAGAAACCACTCTTCACTCCTTTTACCTCAGGAAAAGTGATGACAGTGCTCAGCTTGGGGGAATAAATCACAATTTATTTGAGTCTGTCATGAAAAATGGTATTTCTTTTGCCAGACACTCAATTTCTTGATTGCCCTTCCAGTAGAAGAAATCAAATATCCTAGTTCTAGTCTAGAATAGAAAACAGGAAGTGTACTGTCAACTTCTATTAAATATTTTCTTGGTTTAACAAAAAGAAGTCAATTTCCATTCTCATTTGGAAGAAGGGATTAGATATTTTAGTGATTTGACATCTCATTTTGAGATAAGAATAAACCTACACTATTTTCTTTTTTTTTCTTTTTCAAGTAAATGCATACATTCTATGCTCTTGAAGTATAGAGCCATGTTCTATGAAGTTCGTTGCAAAAAAGATAAACAAGCCTGGATTGTTGCAAATAGTTAAACAAGAGCTAAGAGCTAAGAAGACAAAAGGTGCTGTAATGGCCTGTGAGGGGTGGGGGTGGGGCACAGAAAAATAAAAATAAAAATAAAAATATAGTGAAGTGTAAATTAAAAGTTATCTCTTATTACAGAATTTAGATATTCTTATTTTGAAACAAATTCATATAAATCAGGCATGATTTATACGTGAAGCAAGTTTATAGCAATTTCATTCACAAACATTTCCCAACTGGAAAATAATTTTCAAAGGTTAAGTAACCTTTAAGCATATATAGAAACATTAGAATATAAAACATTAGAATACAAAAATTAGCTGGGCATGGTGGCACGCACCTGTAATCCCAGCTATTTGGGAGGCTGAAGCAGAAGGATGACTTGAACCTGGGAGGCGGAGGTTGCAGTGAGGCGAGATTGTGCCAATGCACTCCAGCCTGGGCAACAGTGTGAGACTCTTTATCAAAAAAAAAAAAAAAAGAATTCATAAGAATATAAAGAAACCATATAAAAAGAAACTGTTTTCCTAGTAAAGAAAATGTTACTATTTCATTACTAGCAATGAAATTGGTGTCTCAAGAACTGAACTTAACATAGATACTGTAAACTGTAGAGGCATATACATACAAAAACAAAATGCCAAGCCTCTCAACCCATTTTCCTCCATCCCTTTTCTCTGTGTAACATGTCATGTTCATCTGCCTCTTAGTTCCTTTTTAGATATGGCACTTTCTCTTCTCAATTTAATCATGCATCTGTATATAGCTTTTTATGAGTTTCTTCATTTGCTTGATTTAGCTTTTGGTCTTTTTCAATCTTTCATCCCTTGATATTTTACTTCAGAATTTTAAAATTTGCCTAAATATGGTTATTTTTTCTATGTCTATTGCAGAAAAAAGCAATATTTTGCAAGTCTTGAAGGTAAAGGAAAAACAAAACAAAACATAAAATGAGCTACTTTTAATTTACTTTGATCCTACCTGTGATTAACCTAGATAAACTAGTAAAAAAAAGTCCTTAAACATTGATTAATTAATATATACAGTTAAACTATGGAATGTATAATGTAGTTATATATTTGACATAAAAACCAATATTTATATACTGCTTTAGAAATTCCAAGAAGATGGTCACAGGCACTTTACTTATAATTTATCTTAACAAACAGAAAAATTTGAATTTCTCCCCCACATCCAATGATTGCTATATAATTGTTTTCTGTTATTATTTTCAAAAGAAGTATCATCTAAAGGATAGAGTCTAACCTATTAATTTTATTTACTCTTTAATTTTGTTTATTTTTCACTCTTACCCAACCAAATGTCTTCAAAATTTTTAGAATAAGGATTTTTCTTTTCAATGCTATGTCTTCAGCAGTCAGAAGCATATTGGTACATAGGTAGAGATCAACCAATAGTGACTGAATAACTATAAAATAAAATTATCTCAAACTTGACTTTATGAATGAAGGAAACATATTCAGAATATACAGTTTTGGCCGGGCGCGGTGGCTCACGCCTGTAATCCCAGCACTTTGTGAGGCCGAGGCAGGCGGATCACGAGGTCAGGAGATCCAGACCATCCTGGCTAACACGGTGAAACCCCATCTCTACTAAAAATACAAAAAATTAGCTGGGCGAGGTGGCGGGTGCCTGTAGTCCCAGCTGCGCAGGAGGCTGAGGCAGGAGAATGGCGTGAACCCCCGGGGGCGGAGCCTACAGTGAGCCGAGATCGAGCCACTGCACTCCAGTCTGGGCGACAGCGAGACTCCGTCTCAAAAAAAAAAAAAAAAAAAAAAAAGAATATACAGTTTTACTAAAGCTATAAAAATATGAAATCACAGAGACAGTAGTTGAACTCATGTCTCTTGCTTCTAAATCCAAAGTCTTTCCAATAAGTGGAATTGCCCATCTGTTAATTTTTTCATTTAAATGATTAAAAATGTATTTCTCAAGATGGCGAAAGATATCTCTAGTTAATGAAAGTAGTTGAAAATAAAACACAAATAATTTTAAGTATTTTAACTTGTTTCCACTAGAAGAGATTTCATAGTTACTAAGAACTTGAGTCATCTTTAGAAATCATTCTAAATTAAATTATAGAGCATTAAAATACTGATAAAAAGAAACACTTGAAATTTGCTGAAGTGACAGATGGAACATAATTTCCAGAAATGAGTTGTAAGTTCCATAAAAGTGCAAAGTCTTTCTGTTTTATAAGTGCTAAATTGCGATTGAGGTTCTTAGAATGTAAAACTCAAATAAGGAACAAATTTAAGACAAAGAGGTATAGATTTAGTAGAGAGCTTAAATGAGTCAAATGTATTTTAAACATTTCATAAACAATGAAAAGAAAGAATTATGCATGTAACGCAATCTGCTATGCAAAATTTAAACTATTTGACTAAATTATATGTAAAATGAGCATATTTTGAAAGAAAATAGCACATGCCATTCAGACAGTTACCAGTATGTAACTGCAAACAGAGTATCCAATTCATATTCTAGAAAAATATTATACTTGTAAACTAAGTATACCCCCCACAGCCTGTTAAATTGCGCACTACCAAACTTCTTTTATAGTTTTAGAAAGTGACAGAAAGCAGACAATTGAAAAGCAAAACTAATTTTAAACATCAGCCTCCTTATTAAATTTTCTACATATAAATTTTAGTTACATTATGATTGTAATTACTATCAGCCTTAAGAAATATAGCTTAGTATATCAGAAACTACTTCTATGTTTAGATAGTATATTGCCTGTAGGAATATTTGGCTGATATTATTGTGAGCCTCTTGGTTGAACAGAAATTTGTCAGATTTCCAAATCTTGATTTAATGAAGAATATTAAAATATTGTGATCAAATTTCGTTTATAAAGTCAAGTTTTCATGATTCTTTGCAATAATATTATGATATTTTTAAGTGAACATACTATGGGTGCATTAAATCTACAGTGTTGCTTTTGTTGTTTTAATCACCATAAGAAATAATCTTGCTATTGTCATTTTTGCCTGACTGAGAAATGATACGAATATTTTAGTTACGAAGTAAGTGGTAGAAGATTTGAGCCACCGCGATTTTGTGTTTTTCCTGTAGTTAAAGGACTTGCAAAGAGTTACTGAGAAATAAACAAATGAAGTAATACTTCCTATCTTTGATGAGCATCAGTCATTGAAGTATATTTTGTGCAGGCCTCAGTGTGGGGTTGTGGGTGAGTGAATTGTCAGAGGCAGAGATAGTGATAATATTTTTGGCATATTGAGATTATATGCAAAGGGAAATGCAAATATAAAGCCAAAGTCCTCCTCATACAGGTCATGCCTGAATAAAGTTTTATCCATTTGATTTCCATCTATTTTTCTGTACCTATTTATTCAATTAACATTTGCATTTCCCTTTGCATATAATTTCAATATGCCAAAAATTACACTGGCATATTGAGCCAATGTAATTATATTAATTAAATTATATATTATATATATAATTGTTTCAAAACCATGCCTGTTTTTGTTTTAGATAAAACTTAAAAATAACAACCCTTATGATTTTATCAAAATGAATTGCTTTTGAGTTAGTACATACATATCCTGTTCTATGTTACTTTTATTTTTAGAAATTATAAACAGCATACATTTATTGAATTGTTACTGTGTCTTGGGTATTTTTTCAAGCATTTGACATAGTTAAATGCTTTTGAAGCACATGATAAACATATTAAGTAGAAGTTATTTCATGTACTGTGTTTTCTCATAGAGATAGTTAATACCTTACTCTAGATCACACTGATAGGAATTATCTAGTGAAGTCAGAAATTAAAATAAGAAATTTTAAAGCCACAAAGTTAAACAGCCCCTATACCAAAATCCCTTGAAATATTAAGATAAATATTCCCACAGTCAAATATTTTGATCATACTTATTTAATTAATACTTTATATAAGAACCAACTTAAATGAAATATACTTTTCTTTGGAAACTCTCATTTTCTAGTACTCTTCTTTGAGACCAGCAATTTGATACTGCTATCATATTTTAAAATATTATTATTATTTCTAAGACATTTAGGGATGATTTTCTATTCTGTGCAGTAATTTAATTCCCAAATAATGCCAGACTACATTCTCATTGTACAAATTTACACATTGAATATAAGGTCAAAGTCCTCTGGCTGTATAAAGCTTTATGCATTTGATTTCAATCTGTGTCTCTGTATTTATTTATTCAATTTTTATAGGCCTCCACGAAAATACACAATGGGGTTTTATGCATATGTATATTCGTATGTGAGATCCTATTTCAATATGTGTCTGGAATTCAATTCACCCTATTTGTTGTTTTGCACTAACCAAATTATCTTTTCATTCTAGGCCATATATTCTAGTATATTTTTAAATTGCTGTGTTGCGATTTACTTTTTGAGTCACCCAATTCTGTTTTTTTACTCTTTGTTTTTGTTCTTTTCTCTGTACCACAAAGCTGCAATATTTTCTTGTACATGCATTCTTTGCTTAACTCACTTATTTTAGTTATATACTAAGAATTGGCTTTGCAATATCATGGTGTTTTTACATGAATAAGGCGAAATTACACTTCAAATGTTGATGTGATAACTTTTGTTCACGATAGTCGATATAATCATTGTTAAATATTTTCCAAACTTTTCTATGTATTATTAGTTGTAATTATTTGAATGATATACTTCGCTTTGTTTTTGCTTATTTGCATTGCTTATTTATAAAGCATGAGCTTCCTTTTTAAATATTTTGTAACCAAGTTGCTCTTCTACATATTACCTCTTCATATGTTTTGCCCGGCTTCCTTTGCAGACTTCTACTTTTTGTCTTATAGATATAGTCAACATATTCTTTTTTCCTTCTTCCTTTTTTTTTTTTTTTGAGATGAGTGTCTTTGAACTCCTGGGCCCAAGTGATCCTCCTGGCTTAGCATCCAGAGTAACTGGGACTACAGGTGCACACCCCCACTCCCATCTCACTTTTTTATCTTTTGCAGAGACGGGGCCTTGCTATGTTGCTCAGGGTGTTCTCAAACTCTGGGCATCAAGTGATCCTCCTGCCTCAACCCTCCAAATGGTTGAGTTTACAAGCATGATCCACCATGATAGGCAATGCCTTCTTACATATGTGTGTATGTGTGTGTATGTGTGTGTGTGTGAGCATGTGTGTATGATATATTTTCTTTTAGGTTGTCTAATATTTATTCTATTTGTATAACATCTTTTTAAGTACAGAAGTATTAAATATTTGGTTTGGTAGTTTTCTTTAGATTCATATTTTTAATGACAGCAAGGATAATATGTCTTATAAGTTTCTAGTGCTTATACTAGCCTCCTAAACAAATTAAGCACACAAAATATATTTTTATGAATAAAATAATAACTGCATTAGCCTACATTTTTATAATTTCATGAGTTTATTTAGCATTTATATTTTTAACTTACTCGGATTTTATTTTTGCAATTAGTGTGAAACAGAAATATTTTCTCCAATTGGATACCCAATCTTCTCATGCAATTTTATGAATAAAGAATCATAGAATTTTATAGCTTTGTAATATCACTGCCATCACATACAGTTTCATTTGTCAAAGAGAAATTGCAGGAGAGAGTTAAGCAGGCAAGGAAGACTTCAAGGCTATTTCAGTTGCAGTCAAGTCTATCCTAATTGGGAGACAGAACCCAATTCTTCTGGAAAAAAAAATGCAGGAGAGTTTTTAAGCACCGAAGTGCCTTAGTGAGAAAATAACTGGAGGACATTAAAATGAGGGTTGGCCAGTGAAATTAGGCCAATGTGCTTGTTAATTGACGTTTACTGAAGTTAGGTCCTTATCTTCCCACAGACGGAGGAAGATACAGGCTCTACTGTTCTTAAAGATTACATTTTAGAGGGATAATTCCAAGGTCCAAGGCATTCCTGGGTTGTAAAAATGGCAAGAGTTTTGGAGATAATTTACATCTCAATGTAGCTGAAAAATCATTACAGGTTTTCTAAAACCAGCGCTCAAAAAATGGAGGGACAGGGGCTTAGAGTCGGGAAAATATCTTAGTCAAGCCAAAAGGAGTGTCAAGGCTTCTAGTTCACATTAGAATTATAATTTTTCTGGACCATATTGTGTCATATTAATAAATGTTTATAACTGAAGCATTTCTCATTTAATTACTATTGCTTGCTAATACTTTAATAGCCAGACACTAAATACACACATGTGTTACCCTTTTTTTATTAAACATTTTTTCTTTGGCAATTTTCTTGTCTATAAGAGTTTTAACTCCAGCTTGTCAATTTCTAAGAAAGATTATTTTGAGATAATCATTGAATATAAAATAGATGGCCTCTTACCCACAAAAATGTCATTCTTCTCTTCTTCCTTGCAACAAAACCACAATCTTTTCCAGGGCAATAAAATGCTCAACTAGAAAAAATAAAGCAAAACATTTGTTAGCATTAGATAAAATGGTGGCCATTGAATATCCATAAATGATATTTGCTGAGAATATCTGGGATAATTTTGCTTTCCTGACATAAACGCTATTGTTTTCTCACCGTTATTTCATTATATTTTCCCTTGCCAGGAAGGCAGGAGAAAAACTGAAGCGGAAATAAACAACAGCAGCCAGTGTGGAACCATTCAAAAATTCACACCACTACATCTACACATATATTGCTCTCAGCTATTAACCTACAAATATGAATGCTCCCATCAAAATCAAGTCGTTCTATATGTACACTAGATCCTAACTCCTTTCAGCTATGGAAGAACATCAATTAACACTCTTTTCTCTCTGCAACATCATGGATTTAGTTTTTACTAAAGATAGACAGATATTTGTCTATATATATAGAGAGATATATAGATATCTATATCGATATAGTGAGAGATTCTCCAAGATTATTTCAGAGCTTTAAGATTTAATTACTACTTTGTTGGATTTCAGACTTGCATGGGGCCTGTAGCCCCTTTATTTTGGTCAATTTCTTCTGTTTGTAACGGGTGTGTTTACCCAATGCCTATACCCCAATAGTATCTAGGAAGTAACTAACTTGCTTTTGATTTTACAGGCTCACAGGTGGAAGGAACTCATTTGTCTCAGAGAGAGAGAAAGGGAGGTTTCTAAATATCTACCCAGCTACAGCTATATTTACTTGCTCCGCCTTGGACAAAATACTTCAAAAAATAAAATAATTATGTAATCTCACTGGCTCAAATCCCATTTTCATTCCTGTCTGAATCAAAACAATCTAGCTTTCACCAAGCTATCAAAACTATAGCTCTTGAAATTACCAATGAGTCAATGTCGCTAAAACCAATGGTCTATTTTTGATCTTCATTTTCTGCTTGATCTCACAGAAACATTTGACATGAGCTCTAAGTTTATCCTTTTTTTAATGTAACAAAAAAAATACATAACATTCAATTTACCATCTTAACTATTTTAAGTGTTGTAAACCCCCAAAACTTGAGACGGGTCTCAGTTAATTTAGAAAGTTTATTTTGCCAAGGTTGAGGATGCACCCGTGACACAGCCTCACGATGTCTTGACGACATGTGCCCAAGGTGGTCGGGGCACAGCTTGGTTTTATACATTTTAGGGAGACATGAGACATCAATCAATCTATGTAAAAGTACATTAGTTCCATCTAGAAAGGGGGAAAGAGATCAAAGCAAGGCCCACCCCACTGCCGCCAACTGGGGTCTTCCAGGTCACATGTAGGTGAGAGACAGATGGTTGTGTTCTTTTGAGTTTCTGATAAGTCTTTCCAGAAGAGGCAATCAGAATATGCATCTATTCCTGTAAGGAGAGAGATGACTTTGAATAGAATGGGAGACAGATTTGTCCTGAGCAGTTCACAGCTTGAAGGGACCCAAGATACTTTCCTTTCAGTTTACAGTTCAGTAGTAAGTACATTCACATTTTGCGCAGAAGAGCTGTATAATATTTTTCATTTTGCAACACTGAAACTTTGTACTCACGACACAATAATTCTTCCCCCTCTATCCAGACCTCAGTAATCATCTTTCTATTTGTGCTTCTATAATTTTTATGACTTTACATGCTTTATGTGACTGGAATCATACAGTATCTTTCCTTTTGTGACTGGCTTATTTCTCTTAGCTTAATGACCTTGAGGTTCATCCATATTATAGTATGAGACAAGATTTTCTTCTCTTTAAAGACTGAATACTATTCTATTATATATATATATATATATATATATATATATATATATATAAACACATTTTTAAACCCATTCATTCGTCAGTGGAAATTTGAGTTTCTTTTGCTTCTTGGGTATTGTGAATAAGGCAATAGTAGACAAAAGTATGCAAATATCATTTTGGAATCTGCTTTGAATTACTTTGGATATATACCCAGTAGTAGCATTGCTGGGTATATTCTACTAGTGGGGCTATATCCAAATGGTAATTCTATTTTTAATTTTTAGAGGCACCTCAATCTGTTTCCTATAATGGCAGTACATTTTACATTCCCACCAACAGTACATAAGGGTTCCAACTTCTACACATTCTTGCCAACCATTATTATTTTCTATTTTTATAGTGCCTATCTTGACGGGTGTAAGGTGATATCTCATTGTGGTTTGTGGTTTTTGAATTGCTTTTCTAATGATTAGTAATGTTGAGCATCTTTTCATGGGCTTGTTGGCCATTTCTATATGTTTTTTTAAGAAATGTACATTTAAGTTTATATGGTTTGGCTGTGTCCCCATCCAAATCTCATCCTGTAGCTGGCATAATTCCACCTGTTGTGGGAGGAACCCGGTGGGAGATGATTGAATCATGGGGCGGGTCTTTCCCATGCCATTCTCCGTGAAAGGGAATGGGTCTCACAAGATCCGTTTTAAAAATGGGAGTTTCTCTGCACAAGCTCTCTTCTTGCCTGCTATCATCCACATAAGGTGTAATTTGCTTCTCCTTGCCTTCCACCACGATTGTGAGACCTCCCCAGCCATGTGGAACTGTAAGTGAATAAACCTCTTTTTCTTGTAAATTGCCCAGTCTCGGGTATTCAGCAGCGTGAAAACAGACTAAAACAGAAAATCCTTTGATAATTTTTAATTGGGTTGTTGTTTTCAAGTTGTAGAAATTCCTCATATATATTCTTTATGTATTATTACCAAATATATGATTTGCAATTTTTTCCTTCCATTGCATTGGTTGCCCTTTCTTTGTGATAACTGCCCTTAATTCATTCTTTTCAGTTTTTTCCAAATCACCTTATTCTCCTATGTTTTCACTTGATTCAATAGGCACTACTTTTAAGATTCTTTTGCTTGTTTCTCCACTCCTGTGCTAACTTATACTGTTGGACTCTTTCAGGGCTCAGTCCTTGGTCCTCTTTTCTATGTGCATATATTCCTTTGAGGATAAATTTCAGTATCATTACATTAACTCACATCTGTGTATGATTATGATCCCAAATTACATCTCCAGAATAGACATGTGAGGCTTGTACATGCACTTTCCTACATAACTACTGATAATGAGCTACTGATCTACCCTATTTCTACCAGCATCTTATCAATCTCCGTTGATAACAACTCTGTTCTTCAAATTGATACTCAAAAACTTGTAGTTATTGATATTTCTAGCTTTCATTTATAGCCGCATATCTCGTGTTCAATAAAATTATGTTTATCTTCAAAATATGTTCATGCTAAGATTAATGCAAGAGAAAGATAAAAGAAGCCTGAGATATTGATGAATTCATTGAGTAGCTTCACCAAGCCATGAAGGTTCTGACCAAAAATTTTGAATGAGTAAAATAGACTCTGATGTTAATATGTTTCTGTGTACACATCGGTTTGGCTATGTCCCAACCAAACTCTCATCTTGAATTGTAGTTCCCATAATCCCTATGTGTCATGGGAGGGACCAAGTGGGAGGTAATTGAATTATGGAAGCGGTTACCCTCATGCTCTTCTTGTGATAGTAAGTTCTCATGAGATCTGATGGTTTTATAAGGGGTTCCTCCTTCACTTGGTTCACATTCCTCTCCTTCCGGACACCATGTGAAAAAGGACATGTTTGCTTCCCCTTCTGCCATGATTGTAAGTTTCCCGAGGCCTCCCTAGTCATGCTGAACTGTGAGTCAATTACATCTCTTTCCTTTATAAACTCTCCAGTCTCAGGAATATCTTTATTAGTAGTGTGACAATGGACTAATACAGGCATCAAATCCAGTTTTAACTGGTAGAGATAATTGTCATCTGTACAATATTCAGTGCAAATTTTCATGAATGTCTTATGTTGTTCTTTAGTAACATTTATGCTTTTCTGTATGTTCTAGTACAAATCTTATAAAAATTATCCCTTGAAATCTTATAAACATTATGACTGTGAGTATATATTTTGTTCACTGTATTTTTTTCTGTTAGATTTTTTTAAGTAGTTAATAGTATACTGGTAAGGTACTAATGGTTTTGCTTTTATCTTTCAGCATAATATTAAATAGAAACTTCTGTAATAGAAACTTCATAATATTAAATAGAAACTTCTGTAATTCTGAAGTAATTACAGAAGTAATTAATTAATTATAATTAATATAATAAATTATAAATGTAGGGGGCCCAAGTGCAGTTTTGTGACATGAATATGTGAATAGTGTACATTGTATCCCTAAATTTCTCATCCCTCACCCTTCTCCCACTCTCTCACACTTCCAAGTCTCCAATGTATAGTATTCTACACTCTATGTCCATGTGTACATATTATTTAGCTCTCACTTATAAGTAAGAAGTTGCAGTATTTGACTGTTTCTGAGTTATTTCACTTAAGATAATTGACCTCCTGTTCCATCCATGTTACTGCAAAAGACATGATTTTATTCTTGTTTATGTCTTAGTACTATTCTGTTACATATGTATATATCAATTATTCTTTATCCAGTCTTCCAGTGATGAACACTTTGTTTTAGTCCATACTATTGGTACTATAAATAGTGCTAATATAAACATACTATCTTTTGATACTATACAAGTATCTTTTTAATACTATACAGCTATCTTTTTGACATAATAATTTATTTTCCTTTGGATAGTTACCCAGTAACAGCATTGCTGGTTCGAATGGTAGATCTGTTTTTAATTCTTTGAGAAATTTTCATACTGTTTTCCAGAGAGGTTGCACTAATTACATACTCCAAGATAGACCATCTGTTAGGCTACAAAACAAGTCTCAATAAATTTTAAAAACTCAAAATCAAACCAAGTATTTCATCAGACAACAGCAAAATAAAACTAGAAATCAATTTCAAGAGGAACTCTTGAAACTATACAAATATATATAGTTTAAACAAGATACTCCTGTACTGTCTTTTAGTCAACAACAAAATTAAGACAGAAATTTAAAAAATAATTAATGAAGATGAAAACATAACATACCAGAACCTCTGGCATACAGCAAATTCAGTATTTATATTATTTAACTTCAAAGATATTAAGTCTGATATTAATCACAATGCTTTGTGTATCAATACTTAATCAAATTAAGATTTCTTTTACTAGCTAGTTGTATAATATTTTGTTTTCTTCAATTAATTTGGAATATTTAAATTAAATAGTTTTTTATACTTTAAGAGAATTACAACTTATTTTTCTTTATCCTGTTCATAGGATAAATACTAATTACTATCTTTCTTCTTGAGAGTTACTTACTCTCAATTATACTTTGAAAATAGTAATCTCAGAGATAACCTGAGTATGCTTATACTACTTTGGATTGAAGTTCTTTATCCAAATGTATTGTCAAAAGAATCTAGCATACATGCATTCTCCTCTCTTACTCATCATGTATTCTGCCATTGCCTTAAGGATGGAACAGTGGAAGAAAACTCAGTACTGTGGAGGACGGCTTAGAAGTAGAACCTTATCCCATCCCAATTCACTAAGTGAAATACTGGTGTCGGTGGACATATCTCTTAATGGAAAATTGTTTAACACTTTACAAAATTAGGAATAAATTAGAATTTCTGTCTAAATGTCTTGCTAGTATTGAATATTCATGTGATTGAAACCACATGTTCTTTGGTTGCTGATTGTAGACTAGTGCTAATGATAGAATAAATAACAATTTAGACAGTTATTTTTTCTCATGCCCCATTTATAGAGTTATCATGGACAGTATTTCATTATCTGCCTGACCCTTACCACTTCACACTGGATCCATCCTTCCAACACTTTTTATGCCATTTAACAAACAGATCAGACCCATCCTGTCTTTTACAACTGCCTGAATATAGAAATATAAGTATGTGTTATGTGTGTATGTGTGCGTGCCACATGACTAAAAGAAAGAGGTTTCTGTTTTCACCACAAGTTCTTAGGATAATTTTAGTAATTTTACTTTTAACCAATTGAAGAATTAAGACTTGCTCTCAGCAATGAAATAAATTAATCTTTAGTATTTATACTAGACACTATTAAAAAGTTTTGCGTATTTTCTTTTTTTGACTGTAATGAACACATGGATTTAACTTTGCTTCAATGAGAAATGCAAGCAGTTTCTAACGTAATCTTCCTAAACTGTTCTCACTGGTGCATAGTACATCTCCTAGGGCTAGTGGTTTTAAACATTTCAAAGGCATGGAAATCTCAAGTGTAAATACGTCTCTTAGTAATTTAAAATTCTTCACTTACCTAGTATCTTTTTCTTAAACTAACACTTCCTATATTGATGATTACTTTAATACAGCAGACCATTTGTTAGAAATTGAAACCATTCTGATGGGAAATAAAATGTTAGGATGTCTAAATTCCAATTAAATGCACTGCTGAACTCTATTCCTTTAGCTGAGAAACTGGAAATAAAAACTTCAGGCTGTGACCGTGACTTAAAAGATGCATTGATTGATAAGGCATGGTCCTTAATTTTTAAACATTTAACTGGATGAAAAGATATCAGAATAATAATCAATCTGTGCTTATAAAATGAAACACACTTAGATGTAAATGTGACTTGAATTTTTTTTTTCAGGAAACATATTGCATATTTAGTATGTTTAAGTTATTGGAAGATAATGCAGCAACCCAGTTTTGTTTTAAGCCTTATGATTAGAACCTTGCATTGCTAAAGTTCTTTTACCATCAATGGAAAATGAGGTGGCTGAACCTAGTTTGTTCTTTCTTTCATTCCTGGAGACTTTGAATTAATTAACTCAAGGCCAAAATTGTTAAGACCACTGAAGAAAGATGAGACTCACTGGGTGAGACTTAGTGAGTAAACTGTGAAATGATACCAAAAAGAAAAAAACCTTTTGATACATGATCTTTTAATTAATAATAAGCTATTAATTTAAAACTCAGTCAAAACCTTAAAATAAAATTTAGCTTGAATACAAATTACTAATATTTAAGGAAAAAAGAAAAAATTTTAGAGGAAACTGTCAAATTTCATAAACTAACTTTTAAAAGTTGTTTATTTTGATTTATCTTTTAAAAACATTTTAAAGACATTATTTTGAATATCTCATGTTGAAAAATTCTAATGGATATAAATCCTAAAATTCAATAACATGCAATTTGAGGTGATCTGCATAAAAAACCATGCCTGTAATCCCAGCACTTTGGGAGGCCCAGGCGGGTGGATCACGAGGTCAGGGGTTCGAGACCAGCAGCCTGGCCAACATAGTGAAACCTCATCTCTACTAAAAATACAAAAAATTAGCCAGGTGTGATGGCAGGCACCTGTAGCCCCAAATATTGGGGAGGCTGAGTCAGGAGAATCGTTTGAACCTGGAAGGCGGAGGTTGCGGTGAGCTGAGATCACACCACTGCACTCCAGCCTGGGCAACAAGAGTGAAGCTCCATCTCAAAAAAAGAAAAAAAGAAAAAAAAAAAAGAAGTATGCTCTTCACATCTCATGCTAAAAGTGAAAATTGTCTAACCAAAGCTTCTTGGCTAATAGTAGATCAGAATAAGAGCAAATGCTCAGCCAAATCAATCAACCTCCTCACTCCCCTCTTCATTTTTTCCGCTAAATTAACCTATCTGGTATTTCTGAAAATATTCACATCTAGGAATACTGAATTTGATATTAGATAGTCTTTCTTGTATTATTACATTTAGCTATGTGAGACCATTTTAATGAGCTCTATCCCAGTAATACATATGAGTGAATTGCCCATGGGTCTGTGTATGTCTGTGTGAGTGTGTATGCATTTAATTTTTTTGCCTTATCCTTTTATTATTTGACTGAAGGGGCAGTAGGCTGGAGGTTCATTTATGTTAGATTGTAGTAAACCCATACTTAATATATCATCAATTCAATATAGTTATAACAAGTTATCACTATTCAGCTGAACTCAACACATTTACTTATCACCAACATTTTGCTAGATGATTGGTGTCCAAAGAGTTTTTTCCTGGTGACTGGCTGAATTGATAAGTTGTTTAAGTTTGGCTTACCTCAACTATAACATTTATAGTTTTACTTATTTCATAGATGGAGAGAGATATAAAGTATAACTAACATTTTTTAAAAATACAAAATTATTTTTGCTATATACTAAAATGATTTCTACAAAATTTTTATGCTCTATAAAGAGCTAGCTTTTAGGAGTGTTGTACTAAGGAAATTTTGACTATAATTATCTAGGTATTTGGTGCCAATTATGCAATAATTTTGACCAAACCTTTTAAATTTTCTCACAGTTCTGTTATGTATTAAAAACTATGATTTTAGCTTTCAAATTTACACTGCATGAGTTTCAAAGTTTTGGCCATGTGCTCCCTTTTTGAATATACATTCAGTCCAGGCATAGTGGCTCAAGCCTGTAATCCCAGCACTTTGGGAGGCTAAATTGGGAGCACTGCTTGACTCCAGGATACCAGCCTGGGTAACAAAGTGAGACCTTGTCTCGACAAAAATTCAAAAATTTAGCCAGGCATGGTGGCACGTGCTTGTAGTTCCAGCTGTCCAAGAGACTGAGGCAAGAGGATACCTTGAGCCTAGGAAACCGAGACTGCAATGAGCCCTGTAGTAAAATCATGTAAGAATGTAAAAAAGTGTTTGCATTTTCCAAAATGGAATTCCCAAAAGGTTTTCCACAAGTATTTTGGATTAAAACAACAATTTACCCCATGAAATGTGATTAGAACATAGATGCTTACAAAAATTTCAGCACCCACTTTCAGTGGGACTGGAATTCTTAAAAATGACAGGCTTCGACGAAATAGATAATTGTTCAGCCTCTGTTTTAGCCATACATATTTTCAGGAGAATATTTTTACATGTACATGTTTCTTTATTTATAAAAATTCATGTTCATCCATAAAAGCAGCACGATGTTTCTTATTTTACATTATTCTACAATATAGTATTAGTTAACTCTTAGTATCATTATTTATTGGTGTAAAATAAGTCATGATTGGAAGTCCCATTTTGTTAATGTGAAAATTGTTGGGCAAAATCTAGGCTTAGATGACAACTCTAATTTCGTTTAATACTAAGTAATATCTTTAGGTCACATAAACCCACTAAGCTTGATTGTCAAATGAGATTAAAGTATTTTGTTTTTATTTCACATGGTTTTTTGAGCATCAAATAATGCCAATACAAATGAAAATTATTTTCATTACTAGAAACTAAATATGCATGTTAAGTTTAGTTTAATCGGTGATGGAGTTCAGGACACACTACCCCAAAATATGGCACATTGGCATGTGAGAAAGCTGCAGAAGCCAGAAGGTGGCTCTCACCTTCTGTTTATCCTTTCTCTCCTGAAGCAGATAATAAAATGTGAGAAGGTCATTCTCTGACTTTCTCTCACCCTTCTCCTTTGAAACAGATCATAACAATGATATAGGAGTTAAGAAGGAATAACTTAGGCAAATAGCAAGGGCATGGGAATCCTTGGTAAGGCTTTTCTTTTTAATGAAAAGCAGTCCCAAATTATTTTTCTTTCTAACAAAGAGCAGCCTGTAAAATTGAGCTGCAGACATAGATACCGGCAGTTGTGCCAATCATGTTCAACAAATCATGTTCAAGATGGCAGCTCCATCTTCCCTTCTCTTTGTCAGCCACGTGTACAGTAAGAAGCAGACAAGATGGCACTGATCAACTGGAAAGCCCATTGCATAATAAGATTAGGGTGGGCGACCAGGCTTCCCCAAGAACTATGTAGATGTCATACCTGATTGAACCAATCTGTGAGCCTTACGTAAATCAGACACTGCTTTCTCCAACCTGCCTATAAAATCTGCTGCCGTCTCCCGCCTCCCACCTTTTTGGACATTCCTCTCTTGCAAGGAGCTGCTTTCCTCTGTCCTTTCTTCTATTAAACTTTCCACTCCTTAACCCACCTACATGTGTCCATGTCCTGAATTCTTTCTTGGCACGTTACAACGAACCCCAGGATATATACCCCAGACAGCAGAGCAGTTTCAACACCCTCCTTCGAACAGTGCACTCACCATACCCAGAGGAAAGCCACATCCTGATCCCTGCAGACACAGGTACACAGAAAACTCTGAACAAACAGAACTTGCTAATTCCCATTAGTGTGTTATCATAACATCATGCCTCCTTTGTCCAATCATGCTTCCACATGACTGTCCATTCTTCATCAAACCTAGGCATAAAATTACACACATTTTCCTGTTTCATTGAGTTTTTATTTCCTTATGAAAGCTCCTGTGTCATACAAACCTTATATTAAATGCTTCTGTATGCTTTTCTCTTATTAATCTGTCTTTTGTTATAAGAGCCTCAACCATGAACATTGCAATGGGTGAGGAAAAACATCTTTCTTCTTCTACAATTAATATAAATTTTCTTAATATATTTCAACTAGCAACAGACATATACACATACAAATATTTTCATGAATTATAATTACTTTCAAAACATTGTTGGCAAGGTCTATCCTAGTTATAAGCATCAAACAGAGAAATACATTGGTGTTTACTGCCAAAAAAAAGTTCCCTTTGAAAGTGGCGGTGGCTCTTTTTCTCTCATCATGAAGGTCCCCTGGTGTCTGTGCCTGTATGTTGGAGTGAGGTCCAGGAAAAGCAAGGGAAGACTCCTCTTATGCATAGATGTGCCTAACTTGCACCATTTTATCTTTCTCTCCAACTATTTTTCTTGTGCATTTTTTTCATTCACACCCAGTCTTTAATTTTAGTGCATACTTCTAGTTCTAAAGTTGTTGATTGCAGAGAGGTTTCCCACTGCATCCACATAACACGAACACATCCCTGACACCATGGTGGATTCAGTTCTGGCATCGAACCTGGTCATCTATTTACTTGAATTAATTATTCCTAGAAATTTATTGATATTTTTTCTGTACTCAAATCCATGCTAAGGTTATCTCAAATATCAGAAATATTTTTATAATTTCAAACTTAAGGAGAGAAGTTAGCTAAAATTCTTTTTTTTGTAGAAATTTTATTTTATAAGATTGGACATTCATCAGCCCCTTTTGGGCAAATTAGAAATCTACCTCCTGAAGGGTGAAGGGGTGAGATAAAATTTACAGTGCAAACACATCCCTGTAATATGTGTTTTGTAAGAGAATTTAAATACATTTTCAGCCACATATGTTTTTCTCTTTGAATTTATTAAGAATTTTAAAACAACAGAATTATGGACTTTGTTTATATCCTTTCTTTCCCACAAAGGCATATAAATGCATCAGAAAATAACCAACAATATTAAAAAATAGATTAGATATATGGTGCACATAAGAAAAATAAGATAAAGCCAGAGGTAGTGATAATATGCAAATCCTACAGTTATAAAACATTCTACATATCTGCTAAAATGGACAACAAATTTGAGTCTAAAATTTCTAACTTTCAAAGCAAAGATCCTTGCAGAGATATAGAATATCCTAAGGGGCTAACAACAAATGGTTCCTCAAGAAAAAGCACAGCTCTCCTGATTCTAAGACTGAAATAAATTTATCCTGTGAGCTCCATAACTGAAGGCTCTTAGAAGTGGTAGAGATATTAGTGTTCAGCCAGTCCAAGAACCTATTCAATGCCTGTATTCATTCTACTCTATCCTTTCTAAAAGACCATATCTCTACTGGAATGAGTCCATTGGGCAGAAAGCTCAGCACTAATATGGCATTTTATTATTTAGCAGACAATTTCTAGTTTTTTAAAACAATGTATTCCATTTGTTTAGCCTCCTTTTATGTATAATCCTCTGGTCATAATTCTAATTCTCTGGAGCAAAGTAAAACAAGAGTACTCTTTATTCCACTTTTAAATAATTTAAGAATTATTGTCAATGCTTCCTTATTCATACATATTTTTATTTACAAATTTGCATTGTGTTGCTACAATTTACTAGGCACTATGCTATAAGTTCAGTGTATATAATTATGAACAATGAAAAACATAGCTCTCTAAGTTGCACAAGATTTACAAAAAAAAAAATTCTTTAACTTGTATCTGTATTTTTCAGTTTCTCCTATGGGCTAAATATCAAGCATCTCCCTCTTCAGAGGTGCTCTTTATTCTCCACTGCCCTCCTCTGTTCCCGGGTAGCCTGACTCTAATGGATTATATTAATGGGTCCTTTGCCTTTTGGGATTCTAAATGGTTGGGGTTCAGCCAGAGGTAAACAATAGAAAGGGGGAAAGACAGTTAAGTGATGTCATTTACTTCTTCAGTTAACTCCCTATCAGGGCACCATCAGTTTCACCCATCAGCCAAAGGTCACAGCTTTTGTAAGGTAGTTTTGCTTCCAGTGTCTTATTTTTTTTTAATTTTATTTTTCCATAAGTGATTGGGGTACAGGTGGTATTTGGTTACATGAGTAAGTTCGTTAGTGGTGATTTGTGAGAACTTGGTGCACCCATCACCCAGGCAGTATACACTGTACCATATTTCTTGTCTTTTATCCCTCTCCGTCTCCCATCCTCCCCCCAAGTCTCCAAAGTCCGTTGTATCATTCTTAGGCCTTTCCATCCCCATAGCTTAGCTCCCACATATCAGTGAGAACATGAATGTTTGGTTTTCCATTGCTGAGTTACTTCACTCAGAATAATAGTCTCAAATCTCATCTAGGTCATTGCAAATGCTGTTAATTCATTCCTTTTTATGGCTGAGTAGTATTCCATCATATATCTATATCTACATATACACATATATGATGGAATATATACATATTCATATATATATGATAGAATATTATATATATTCATATGTATGATAGAATATATATATTCATATATATGTGATAGAATATATATATTCATATATATATGATAGAATATATATATTCATATATATGATAGAATATATATATTCATATATATATGATAGAATATATATATGATGGAATATATATATATCAGAGTTTATCCACTCATTGATGGGCATTTGGGTTGGTTCCACAACTTTGCTATTATGAATTTTGCTGCTATATTATGAATTGTGCTGCTGTAAACATGTGTGTGCAAATATCTTTTTTGAATAATGACTTATTTTCCTCTGGGTACATACCCAGTAGTGGGATGATCTTCAACAAAGCAAACAAAAATATAAAGTGGGGAAAGGACACCCTTTTCAACAAATGGTGCTGGGATAATTGGCTAGCCACATGTAGGAGAATGAAACTGGATCCTCATCTCTCAGCTTATACAAAAATCAACTCAAGATGGATTAAGGACATAAACCTAAGACCTGAAACTATAAAAATTCTAGAAGATAACATTGGAAAACCCCTTCTAGACATTGGCTTTGGCAAGGATTTCATGACCCAAAGCCCAAAATCAATTGCAATAAAAACAAGGATGAATAGCTGGGACCTAATTAAACTAAGAGCTTTTGCACAGCCAAAGGAACAGTCAGAAGAGTAAACAGACAACCCATAGAGTGGGAGAAAATCTTTATAATCTGTACATCTGACTAAGGGCTAATATCCAGAATCAACAACGAACTCAAACAAATCAGTAAAAAAAAAAAAAAAAACCCATCAAAAAGTGGGCTAAGGACATGAATAGACAATTATCAACAGAAGATATACAAATGTCCAACAAACATATGAAAAAATGCTCAACATCACTAATCATCAGGGAAATGAAAATCAAACCCACAATGCGATACCACCTTACTCCTGTAAGAATGGCCATAATCAAAGAATCAAAAAATAGTAGTTGTTGGTGTGGATGCGGTGATCAGGGAACACTTCTGTACTGCTGGTGGGAATGTAAACTAGTACGGCCGCTGTGGAAAACAGTGTGGAGATTCCTTAAAGAACTACCATTTTTTTCCAGTGTCTTATAATCAGTTTCTCTCTCCGTTTGCCACTCGGTTTGCCTAGGATGTCCAACTCTTTCTAGTTCAATGGTACTGAACATTCCCTGTGGTTTTCTTATACCATGGGCATTTAAAAAAAAATGATTTCTCATAAAATTAATTATTTTATTTTACTGTATTTGTTTCCTCATAGAACTATGACAAGAATAATTTGCCATACAGAAGTAATGCCAAGCATATAATAAATGTATGTAATAAATATCAAATAAAGAATGTTTTGGAACAAAACCCTAAAAGTTGATGATACAGAGTTCACCTTATTGTAGGTCTTTTCATCTTTCCCCTCCTCCTCCTCCTCCTTCCCCTCCTCTTCCTTCTTTGTTTTTCTCTCTCCGTATATTCTTCCATTCTCATACACAGAGAACCTTTGTAATTCTTGGAATCCATATATTTGTGATTCATGAATTAATATAGCTTTCATTAGGCAATTTTCTATGTGCTTCTAGACAATAAATTTCACTTCTTATTGACATTAGGAAATTATAGAGACAACTAAAATAGTTCAAAATTATATTAATATAGTATAGTATATAGTATATTTATGTAGTCATAAAAACAATAACCTTTAAATCCTATTATGTATTTTTCCAGGAATACTTTAATTTGTCAAGGATATGATTAAAGTGTGATGCCTAATGTTGTACAGTACATATATACTGAAAATACACCAATAGTTGTTTCATTGTCTTTATTTTATTGTAAATATATTTCGTAATTAGTTGCCATTCTTATTTTGATATACTAGCATAAATATGGCCAAACATGGTAGAAAAAAAAAAAAGACATCTGTACTCAGACCAATGATAATGCCTTCTGATTGATTTCAACTTTCTTTCATTCACTTGTAATAGTATAAATTACTGAAGGAGATACTTGAGTTTTTCCCTACAAATATCAAATTACATTCTAGTTATTTAATCTTAACAAGTAATGTGATGGTTGTCGTGAGTACACAGCAAGTAACTTCTTTGTTATTAGTTCTTTCATAGTGGAATATCTATGTTAGATGAAGACATATGTGATGAAATTATAAGACACATTAATGGAGATACTCCCATGTTTTATAAGAGCCAATGTTGTATGCTATATACTCAGACTAGAATTTAGAATTTATTTTATGCTCTATAAATATTTTATAACTGATTCATTAATGAATGATGGATTTGTAAAATGATATCCATGCAGTGTGGAGGTTACTAAAAATATGGACTGCTCACTTGAAACAAATGAGGACTTAACAGTCGACCCTACCACCATAATAGTTTGGAAATGAACAACACACAGAGGGAGAGTAATATTGTCTGAACTTTCAAGAAAGCAGTAAGAGTGAAAAGCAAAACGAAAAATAGAAAATCAAGAATTGATATCTTATCCGAAAGAGAAATGTAAAAGAGAATACCAATGTTATTTTCACTAATCAAGTAAATAGGAAGTCAAGAATTATGGATGTAAAATTAAAAAATTAAAACATATTACCCATTTCCAAAACTTTTAATTAGGATTATCCACTATTTTACCATAGGAAACCCCTAAACTGAGAACATTTTATTTTGATTGGTTAACAGCAGAAGCAACAGCCCTCTTGGCAGTCTGCTTTATGATGGTTTCATTACCATGTATGGAGAAGGTGATCGCATTATCTTTAGCAAAGCAAAGAAGGCTGAAATTTTGGAGCCTAGGAGTTGGAAGAATCATTGAGAGATAGAATAACAGCCTTCAGGGCCTCTTGAACCTTGACCAGACATGCTTGAAGTCCGCAACTTCTTTGCATTTTATGGAAATTATTTTTCAGACATGTGACCCAGTAGTGTCCTTGCTTTTTCTTTTGACCCAGAAGAGCCTGGGTTTTGTGTTATTGACAATTGGAAGCATCATAATTTATATTTGTGATCTCCCTATTATAAGCCTCTTAAAATTTTTTAATAAAAGAAAAAGCAAAACATTTTTTCCAGGTATTAAATTTATATAATAATTTCTTAGCCCTTGAGGTTAATTGTACCCAAATACTATAGCTGCTATATAAGGGAATGGTGTTTGTCAAATGGGAAGCATCAACAAAATTTATGTTTCAGTGTCTATACCTATAATTCATGCCACTCATTCACTTGTTGCACTCTCAACTAAACAAAACCTATTCATCTTTTCCCAAAAGAAAACATCCCAACATTTCTACCTCTTACTAAATCGTATCAACTCTTTTTGTCAGTTCCAGATGCATTACTTTATGGAACAGCTATGACTAAGTGATGTACACAAAAACATAAAAAAAAAATACAATGGTGGATAGAAAGAGAGGCGACAGAAATAAGGATTACTATTTGCAGAAAGATCAGAAAAACTTATATCACACCTTACTTCAGGAATAGCAAAGGATTTTTGAATTAGAGTAGGCAGTTTTGAATTAGAATAGTTAGAATAGGCAGTTACGTGAGCTGCTTGGTTAGCCAAACCAGAGGTACTCAGGTATACCCTCTTGTGAGGTTCTTATATGTGGAGTATCCTCTGAATACCCTTTGTCCATTTGAAGCAACTGCTCTGTACTTTACAGTCACATTCATAACATCACTTTAGGGGTTTGTATAACCTCATCAGCCAAATCCATATTGATGATAATGTATGTGTCTTGGTAAATTTGTCTTTTAAAAATCTGTTTAAAAAGCTTCTGCTAGTATGGCCAGCATCTGACAACAGAACCCCTGCCTAGCCATAGTTTCTAGATTAGAAGCAGGCATAGATGTATCTTGTTGCATATGGAATTGGTCTTGGTGCCTTAGTGACTTGTCTGTCGCACCGAGAAATGGCTTCACATTTTAGTCAAATTCAATCTGTCTTGTGGTATGGAGACAAAGTTATATTTATTCTTTCTCTTAAGAAATGTAAGCATGTTATTTTTAGGTGTAGAGAGTCTTGGCATATGAGAATTTTCCTGAGTCTCCTGCTAAGCTTCTCACCTCCATGTGTGAGCTAGCACCAGCTTCATATTTTATAATGCTTTTGTTCATCTGGATGAGCCAGATATGTCCAAGCTCCATACACCATTGAAAAAATGTTTTAATTATTATTAGTACAGAGAGTTTGCTTTTATTCAGATACTTTTGAAGATTATTCCTGCTCTAAAACCCACTCACATCAATCAATATGTAGAACTGTGTGAAAGAAGGAGGAGTTATTTTGGGAGCAGAAGGGAATTTCTATAATACCTTGAAATTACACTAGTTAAAAAACTATAATGTCATGTTATAAGCTTAACCATGTTAAATAGAAAATGACATTTGAAACGGTGACAATATGTCTTCCAACTTTGGAAAGCTCTTTTATGAACAGTTATTTTATTATATGGATTTGGCTTTGGAATAAGAGGTTCATGAATGTAGAGGATATGAGTTCATTTGCAAAGACTAATTTCTGTATGCGGTTAGACAGAAGTGAGTTTCTACCTCACAGGAGTGGCAACTTCACTGAAATATTAAATTCAGAGGGGACAATGACTCCTTTTTTTTTAGACGGAGTCTCGCTCTGTCGCCCAGGCTGGAGTGCAGTGGCGCAAACTCGGCTCACTGCAAGCTCCGCCTCCCCGGTTCACGCCATTCTCCTGCCTCAGCCTCCCGAGTAGCTAGGACTACAGGTGCCTGCCACCACGCCCGGCTAATTTTTTTGTATGTTTAATAGAGACGGGGTTTCACCATGTTAGCCAGGATGGTCTCGATCTCCTGACCTTGTGATCTGCCCGCCTCGGCCTCCCAAAGTGCTGGGATTACAGGCGTGAGCCACTGCGCCTGGCCGACTCTATTTTTCATAAAGTCAGCCAGTATGTTCAGACTAATATCACCTTGTAGTGTACTTGTTATAAAGCTAACTAAATAACTCATTAAACTACTAAATGAATTAAAAGTCACAATCATAGTGGAGGATTATTCCTACACGTATTATCTGGTTATTCTACTATTTTTTGTCTTGCTTTAGGATATCCCTTTCACTAATGAAATCTCAAATTTTGGAACACTACAAATTATCATCCTGGTTGTCTACCTTTAAAAGTTATGAAATATACTATCATTACTACAAAAATAATTATTTTGCTCACTTAAAATACATATATATGAATGTTTTTCTACTATTATGATAAATATTTTTTTCAGAAAGAGGCATTCTAGTTTGAATAAAATCTTATTATATAAGAAACAAGACGAGGATTAATGAATTTAAATTTTATTGGGAGCAGAAAGAGAGGAAAATAAATTTGTAGTCACCACTCATTAAATGTTAAATCACTGGTTAATTATTATATCTTACTGAGTTTCATTTTCTTCCTTTATAAAATGGAAATTTTCCTAATGTTTTTGCAAGACTGTACTAGAATATTAAGTGCATTGTATGTTGCCTCTCACAAATATGTCTTTAATATATGTTTTTCAGCTGTTCTCCAATTAAGTCAGAATCATTTGCAGAAATATTCAAAATAGTATTGCATAAATAAAAATGCATATCTTTATGTGTATTTAGAAATAATCACTGTATTTCTTGCTAAAGTCTTTTAAAACCGTATTTTTCACTAATTAATATGGCAGTGTTCAACCTTCAGTAATCATATGAATTTTTATTATGATTTAAGTGTAAGTATTTGTATCTTATTAATGCAGTAAGCAAATTGAAATCAACCAGCTTTTAAAAAATTGCTCACTTTACAATCTTTTATCATTGTAACACTCCTTATGAAAAATATATTAGTCATTAAAATAATTGACAGTTATAAAATGTGCTCTTTATTGCCTAACTTATCACAAAGTTTTGATGCACTTTATAATCTATAAATATTTAAATTTCTAGTGACCCCTTTCTTGCAATGATTCATTGTTTATGCATCATAAAGTTGTTCTGTTATCTATCATTATAAAACAGATATGCATACTTTTTCAAGAGTTAACTGAGAGTCAGCTTGTAATAATCAATAATATTCATTAGTCATTGTCAAAGAAAAGCAATATTAAATTCAAGAGCAATGTGATTTAGTTGAAAGAGCCAAGATATATAAATTACCTATCACGGATTGTGCTTCTGGTTTTTCAGCCAGAAGCAGAAATGAAAAGGATGTTAAATTTATCAAAATCCCTTTTGAAAATATGGAAATGCAGGCCTAGTGGATAAGTGATAGCTCAGGATCCTAACAGAAATTATGAAAGCAGAATTTAAGTTTAACTTTTTTTCTGGCTATACAATGCTTTAAAAATTGTCTTTATAAATTACATAATAAAACAAAAAACAAAAATTAAATGAGCTTCCTTCAAGCTCATGCATCCATCTAAGTATACTCCAGACTTCCTAAGCAAAGGATATTGAGCAAGTTCAACCCTCACTGTCTCTTGTTGTAGTCTTCATTTTTCAATTAACCACAAAATACAGATTTACAATCATACTTTTCCAAGATTGCTGATCTTTTCAATTCAAATTGTTAATCCATATGTAACATTTCAAATGTTTTTATCTGCTACTAAACTTGGCTCATTGTGACTTATATAAATCCTTACTTTTTATTTTTTCTGGTATTCTTTTTCTTTTCTAATCCCTCTACACAGATTATTATTTTTATTTATATTCTCAAAATGAGATTCTTACTACAAAGAACAAATTGGGAAAATGCTGTCAGGCAGACAACTAATAGTATTCTTCTACATAAAATTATTTCTGGATATTATCTTATTAGACATTTCTGCAGCATTTATTCATTTACCTCATTAAAATTCTCCCATTTTACAGTAAGTGGTTCCATATGATCTTTCTTCCCACTTCCCATGTTGATCTCTGTAATTTTTTTATGGACTTTAATTTTCTATTCATTTCTAATATATTTTTCCCTGAAACATTTATTTTTTTTCTTTTCACTCTTCATTTGTTATGAAACTAATTCCAATAGTTTCAGTTTTATATGCTACATTTTTTATATTTACATTCTATATTCAGCCTATTCTTTTTCATTTGTTGGTTCCCTTACACTCAGGCAAGAGCATCTGCTGACATGGATCCCAAGCCGAAAAGGGCCAGTATATCATACACACATGTATATGAACATATACACACAAATAGTAACACACACACACACACACACACACACAGAGAGAGAGAGAGAGAGAGAGAGAGAAATAAATTGCTTGTTCTATTTCCTAGGAACGAATGCTGCCATAAGAATGCTGTGAAGAGACATTGGTTGTATCTTTGCCAATGATGTGGAGAGACACCACTTCAGAATTCAGGACTAGTTTAATTAACAAAGTGAAAAGGCACATATTTTAACTTTTCAAATATTTCCTCTTAGAGCAAACAAATTAATAATTCTTGCAAAACAAAGTATTATTTTCCAGTAGAGTCAAGCATCAATTTTCTTGATTATCTCCATGCTCTACTTATTGGTTCCAGAGACACTCAATGAATGTAACATTTATAAACATTGAACATGATGGCTGGGAAAGATTTTGGAATTTTAAATAATTTATAAATATACATGTGTATATATGTGACTGTGTATATATACATATGCATATATATAGTTATTTGAGTTTTTTCTTTGACAATTACATGATATTAAATATAAGAATTGTGAATAGTTTTATATTCAACAAATTATGTAATACATTAACATTTTATAAATTACAATTTTAGTGTTGTTTAAATAAAAGTCTTTCAAATTGTATTAATGGCTCTAAGGGAGATGGTAATGAAAAATTAGTGTTTTAGTGTCAGTTAAATTTTGGCAAAAAGTCCAGAAATTTTTTTTTTCATTGTCGGCACATAGTTTAAATTTGTCACTATGAGACATAAGATCAATAGATGAATAGCCATTGCAATGTTTATATCAATTAAAAAATTACATAGGATATTTCTGGACCCACTTACAGTCAGAATATCTTTATGATCACATCATATCTCAAAAATATTATAAAAACTCAGAGAGGATGCCTTTTAAATACTCTTGACTCAATAGGATTTACATTAGATGAGACACTAAATAAACTAAAGGATTTAAGAAAAAAAAACTATCCCTTATATGAAGAGAGAATTATAAGAATTCTAAATGAGATTGTCTTAGATTTACACTACTCAATTAATGACTGTGACGTAGTTTTGGAATATGTATATAACACATATATCATTTACATATATTATTTATACTATATATTTAATGATATAGAATATTATATTTATATATATGCTAAATATATTGCAATAGCTTAAAATGACTATTCTAATGCGGATATTTTAATTTTAAATAATTTTTAAAATATTTGTTAATCTTGTAGAAATTAAGTTTTTGTGAATCAAAAGAGTTACATATGAAATGTGCACCAAGATTTTATTCCAATAACATTTTTAAGAATTTAGAAAATGGCCGGGCGCGGTGGCTAACGTCTGTAATCTCAGCACTTTGGGAAGCCGAGGCGGGCATATTACGAGATCAGGAGTTCGAGACCAACTTGACCAACATGGTGAAATCCTGTCTCTACTAAAAATACAAAAAAATAGCCAGGCTTGGTAGCACGTGCTTATAATCCCAGCTGCTCTGGAGGCTGAGGCAGGAGAATCACCTGAACCTGGGAGGCGGAGGTTGCAGTGAGCCAAGATCATGCCACTGCACTCCAGCCTGGGTGACAGAGCAAGACTCCATCTCAAAAACAACAACAACAAAACAAAACAAAACAAAAACAAGAATTTAGAAAAGAAGCCAAAATGATGATGAAGGAGAAATTAAATGTAAACTAGACTGCAGTCTAGTTAGAAACTATATCTGAGCACTATAGATTAAGGTGAAATCTCAATGGGAAAATATTTGAATAAGTTCAGAAGTTTTTAAACCAATGAGTAATATAGTGCTATTATCTTTGTTAGAATAATGATTAAAATATTATAGAAGATAAACCTAAGGGATACTATATAGATCTAAATAATCCAGTTGTCTTCACAATTTTGCCAGCTTTGGCTATATACCAAAAGCTTATAACTCATTCTTTCTATTTTCTTTATTTTTGTGTGTGTATACAGCAGGTATATAGATTTATGAGTTACATGAGATACTTTGATACAGGCATGCAACATGTAAGAATCTGGGTAAATGTTTTGAGGCATTCTGAACAAAGAATAAATGATATCCCACCATGATAAACAAGGTATCCATCCCCTCTAGTACTTATCCTTTATGTTGCAAACAATTCAGTTATACTCTTTTAGGTATTTGAAAGTGAACAATTAAATTACTATTGATTATAGTCACTCTGTTGTACTTTCTATTTTTCCAGTGCGAATGTATGGTTGTCAAGTTAGGAGAATAAAACAAATATTATTTAGTTGTTGATTAGTTTAATATGCAAATTTTAAGCATTTAGCACGTTATATTTTAAACACTATTTGAACTCTTGCCCTAGTTAAAAGTATAGAGATACATACACATTTCATAAGGATGACACTTTTATAATACATCTAAATGTGAGTTTATGTTTATTCTTTCCAGAATTTTCTTCCTGTGTATCTTGGTCCAGTGAATGGGGCCATTATTCATCTAGTTAAGTGAATCTGAAAGATTGAATTCATGTGACTGGTGCACTATACATCATCCTCTCTTACTGATTCAAAGACATTGCTTCAACAGTTTTTCCTTCTCACTCCCTTGCATCTTAATTTTTTTATTAACCACTTTATCTTTTCCATATGCACAAAAAATTATATTCTTACTCATATTTTACCAGAGAAAAGGCATTCTCTTAACTGCAGTTCCTTTTTAAAGGTCCCACTCCATTACTTTTCTCCCCATTACAATAAATTCTTTTGAAAGAATTGTCCATATTTCGTGAGACAAACTCTTCTCCTCCCAAAACTTTTAACCTTAATGTTATTTACTTGTTCTTTGCTTTCGTGCCTGTATTGCTTATTATTTTCAAATGTATTATTGATTTCTATCTATTATATATATTATCTGTATTTCCCTAAAATACAACTCTCATGATGTCAGCGATTTTTTTTCTCTCTCTTGTTTATTCATGGTCACCATGTGTCTACAAAGTTGATAAGCATAAAATAGGAGTTCAACAGATATTTGTTGAAGGAATTAATAAAGGAATTCATGATTTTCACCTGTCCCTCAACACCCTGATGTGCTTAATATTCAATATCTGTGTCAGATCTCTTTATTCTGTCCACTTCTTTTTATTCTCACTGACTGCACTTTCCTCTAAGCCACTGTTATTTTTTGGCCTAGTTTATTTAAAGTGTTTCCTAATTGCTCTTCCTATCTTAATCTCATCTTTCTCTCATTCTGTCTTTACATTGGAGCATGAGTGACCTTTCAAAAACACATGTTTTATCCACTAATCTTTGTACGTAAATATAGAATACTTAACTGCTGTCTATAAAATAAAATTTCCTGCTACGTTGTACAGGGAACTTTTTAACATGGGCACTGCTACCCTTTTTAGTCTTAACTGTCACGTGCTCCACATGTCATTATGAGTCTCACCAATTCCTGCTGTTCGACACTTACTCAGTTCCCTTTTCTGTTTGAAACTAAAAAGGTATGCTTGAAGTTACCCATCCTGTCTTTGCTCACTTCAGAAAAGAACACATCCAGGTCTACTCATTAAAGAATCTGATAAATTAATAAAATAAATATTTGTGATGAGAATATAGTTGTCTTAGCAGCTTTCTTCACATTTTCCCTTTTTTTATTTTTCATCTCACTGCAACCTCCACCTCCTGGGTTCAAGTGATTCTCCTGCCTCAGCCTCCTGAGTAGCTGGAACTACAGGCATGTTCCACCATGCCCGGCTAATTTTTTTGTATTTTTAGTAGAGACAGGGTTTCACCATATTAGCCAGGATGGTCTCAATCTGACCTCATGATCCACCTGCCTTGGCCTCACAAAGTGCTGGGATTACAGGCGTGAGCCACCGCGCCCAGCCACACATTTTCCCGTTTTCTTAAAGAAACCCATAGCGGTTTCATTCATCTCTTAAGCAGTTGAGTTGATAAAAATCCAGTCATATTTCAAAGGAGATATATTCGATTACTTACAACCACCAACTGGAAGATTAACCATTACTTTTGAAGCATGGTTAGGCAGGTGTCTGTATGGTAGCCAAGTAAACAAGACTTCTATGTAAGGTATGCTGGTTCTGGATGCTCTCCTGCCTAGCTCTTGTTCTGATGTTCCGTGATACAACACCTTAGCTGGTCATTTTCCTCCAAGAGCCACTGGATGGTCTCTTGATTGACTTTGCATTGCCCTGTAGCCAGTCCTGTTAGAAGGCCTCCAAGCTCTTGAATTGTTCAGAACCCAGCCTCAGACCATGCAGACAGAGTCAACAAAACCATAAATATTTTTGAATAAACAAATGGTTCTTTGATACATAAATTGTGTGCTTAAGTGCCACATAAATGATTGGTTTATATAGACAACATATATTAATGTTTTCCACTACTATTCTTATTATATTAATGTCATTTTGCTGTATATTTACCTTTATGTTTCCTCTTTTCTGTTAAATTTAATTCCCTTTGCACTTGTCTCCATCAAATGCGCTAGACTTCTCTCAGATAGTCCTGCCTAAATCTGTTCATGTTTTACTTCTTTCTTTTTAATAATTTCAACTTTTATTTTGGATTCAGGGAATACATGTGCAAGTTTGTTACATGGGTGTATTGTGTGACACTGAGGTGTTTGGGGTGTGAATGGTCCTGTCATGAAGATAGTGAGCATGGTACACAATAGATAGTTTTCAGCCTTTGCGGCCATTCCTCTCTCCACTTTCTGGTACCCTTGAGTGTCTATTGTTCCCATCTTTATGTCCATGCCTACTCAATGCTTAGTCCCTACTTGTAAGTAAGAACATGAACATGCAATGTTTCCTTGTCTGTTCCTGCATTAATTTGCTGAGTATAATGGCTTCTAGCTGCATCCATGTTGCTGCAAAGGGCATGATTTTATTCTTTTTTATGGCTGCATAGTATTCCATGGTCTATATATAAGCAACATTTTCTTTTTTATCCAGTCTACTGTTGATGGGCACTTAGATTGGTCCTATTTCTTTGCTTTTGTGAATAGTGCTGCAATAAACACACAAGTACATGGTCTTTTTGGTAGAACAATTTATTTTCTTTTGGATATATAATCAGTAATGGGATTGCTGGGTCAAATGGTAGGTCTGTTCTAAGTTCTTTGAGACATCTCCAAATTGCTTTCCACAGTGGCTAAACTAATACACATTCCCACCAACAGTGTGTAAGTGTTCCCTTTTCTCTCCAGCCTCACCAGCATCTGTTGTTTTTTGACTTTTTAATAATAGACATTCTAATTGGTGTGAGATGGTATCTGATTGCAGTTTTGATTTGCACAAAACAAATGATTAGTGATGTAGAGCATGTTTTCATATGCTTTTTGGCCACTTACATGTCTTCTTTTGATAAGTGCCTGATTATGTCTTTTGCCGAGATTCTATATATTGTTTGCAACTATCTTCTCTCATTCAGTAGGTTGTCTGTCTACTCTGTAGATGGCTTTTTTCTTTTTTGTTACACAAAATTCTTTAGTTTAATCAAGTCCCGCTTGTGAATTTTTGTTTTTCTTGCTATTACTTTTGAAGACTTAATCATAAATTATTTTCCAAGGCTGATGTCCAGAATGGTGTTTTCTAGGTTTTCTTCTAAGATTTTTACAGTTTGAGGGCTTACATTTAAGGATTTAATCCATCTGGAGTTAACTTTTGCATATGGTGAAAAGTTAAAGTACAGTTTCAGTTTTCTGCATAGGGCTAGTCAGCTATCCCAGCGTTATGGAATAGGGAATTCTATCCCCATTGCTTATTTTTGTCAACTTTGTCCAAGACCAGATGGCTGTGCAGATCAGATGCAGTGTTATTTCTGGTTTCTCTATTCTGTTCCATTGGTCTATGTGTGTGTACTTTTGTTTTTGTTTTTGTTTTCTACCAGTAACATGCTATTAAACCTGTTTAAAACTAAGACCATTTGATATAGTTTTGCTAATATGAAATTCTTCTCTACTTTTCAACAATACTAGGTGCTTAAGTATGATATATATACGTATATTTTAATACATTCACTATTTCATTTACTTATCCTTACCCCAAAAGGCACAATTGAAAATCTTTATACATGCATTTTGTAGCTGAAGATAAACTTAGCCAAGCAATATTTGTTGTGTAGAAGCGTGACATCCCAAGTTTCCCAAAAGAAACTATTATTAACATTTAAAAAGATGAGTAGCTTCAGATGAAGTAAGATATTGTATTTCATTGCCTAACCTACTTGTCACATTATATCGTGGCGTACCTTCAAGCACTATAATCTTTATGGTGTCTTAGAGATTGAGTTTGATACATAGCTCTGAACATTTTAGTATTTTATTTTAACTTACATAGGTTTATGTTTCTAATATATGAAATTGGCCTCTAATGAGTACTGACCCCATCAGTTGTGATATTACATGAACTAATTCACACCAAATGCTTTCACAGTACCTGATACTGAGTATGGGCTATACATTTTAGCTATTAATATAGGCCTATATTCTTTCAATCTTTGAATAATTTTTTTCACAAAGACTTTGAAAGTATGTATATGTATATGCATATCTAATTTAAAAATAAAAATAAAAAAAGCTTTGACTACACAGGATATATAAAGCCAGATTTTGTATCTCGTACTTCTACTAAACTTATAAATAATATTGAGGTGTAAGACAAAATTAGAGTGTTGCTTAGGAGAAAAGAGAAGAGATGGCTGTGCTTTCCTACCTAGGGAAATTAAGAAAAATTTAGGGATTATTGGTTATAGGGTTAATGTCATTATACGATTAATAAATAATACAAATAAGGGTTTGTGCATGAAAATTTTCAGAAGAAATGACAAAAATTTGTACTCTTTTACAAACTTATGTACACACATACATACATACGCACCATCAATTTTCAAGGCATGTTTTGGCATGTGATTCAAAGTCTCATGTGCCATTGTCTTGTCAATGTGTGTAATAGCTTCAGGTAATAGCACATGATACCTTGGGATTATTTATGGAGTAGCACTCTAGAGATAGACATTGTCAAAGATATTCCAGATTAAAAACTGGATTATAACATCCTGTTACAACTTTATCAAAACAAACTTCATCAATGCATGAGGTTAATATGCATTTTAAAGGTTGAAGGGCAAGGGTTTAGAGCAGACGTCATTGAAATATGGACCATATACCAATTCCTGTCTGTTGCCTGTTTTTGTAAATAAAGTTTTATTAGACCAGAGCCATCCTTATTGGTTTACAAGCAAGCAGCCATAGACTGCTTTCCTGCTGCAAGAGAGTGTTAAATACTTTCTGCAGAAACCATAAAACTCACAATTTTAAGATATTTACTACTTAGCTACTTAAAGAAGCTTGTTGACCTTTTGTATAGAAGGCCTGTAACTTCTTATGGTTTGTGAGGAATGTGTGCCATGCCAACGTTTTGGAGACTTGGTGAATGTTTTGAGGCATTCTGAACAAAGAATAAAAAGAAGCTTAAACAAACTTATTTAATAAATTAATTCCCACATGCAATTTAGTTAAAATAATTTAATAGTTAAAAATTTTTAATTAATTTTTGTGGGTACATAGTAGGTATATTTATGAAGTACATGAAAACTTTTGGCACAGACATGCAATGTGTCATAATCTCATCAGGGTAAAAGAGGTATCCATAACCCCAAAAATTTATCGTTAGTGTTACAAACAATCTAATTACACATTTTTAGTTATTTGTAAATGTACAATAATTTTTTTTTTACTATAGTCACCCTGTTTTGCTAGCAAATGGTAGGTCTTATTCATTCTTGCTAACTACATTTCATACCCATTAACCATCTCCACTTCCTTCTCGCCACCACCACAATACCCTTTCCCAGCCTCTGATACCCATCCTGTTACTCTCTGTCTCCATGAGTTTAATTATTTTAATGTTTAACTCCCAGAAGCAAGTGAGAACATGTCAAGTTTTTGTTTCTATGGCTAGATAATTTCACTTAACATAATGACCTTCAGTTCCATCCATGTTGTTGCAAATGACAGCATCTCTTTATTTTAATGGCTGAATAGTACTTTGTTGTGTCAATGTACCATATTTTCTTTATGTTTCCTTCTGTTGACGGACACTTAGGTTGCTTCCAAATCTTGGCTATTGTAAACAATGATGCAATAAATATGGTAGTGCAGATATTTCTTCATGATGTTTATTTTCTTTTTTTTTGAGTATATATCTAACAGTGGAATTGCTGGATCACATGGTAGCTGTCTTTTTAGTTTTAAAGAACCTCCAAACAGTTCTCCATAGTAGTTGTACTAATTTACATTTCCACAGTGTATGAGGGTTCCCTTTTCTGCACATCCTCACCGGCCTTTGTTATTGCGTGTCTTTTAAATAAAAGCCATTTTATTTGAGATGATATCTCAAATGATATATCTTTTTGAGATATATCATTTGAAATGATATCTTTTTGAGATATATCATTTGAGATGATATCTCATTGTAGTTATGATTTCCATTTCTCTGATGGTCAGTGAGGTTGAGCACCTTCTCATATACCTGTTTGCCATTTGTAGCTCTCCTTTTGAGACATATCTATCAGATATGTTGCCCATTTTTTAAAAAATCAGATATCTTTTTTCCTATACAATTGAACTCCTTATGTATTCTGATTATTGATAATTTGTCAGATTGGTAGTTTGCAAATATTTTCTCTCATTCTGTGGGTTGTCTCTTCACCCTGTTGATTGTTTCCTTTGCTATGCAGAAGATTTTTAATTTAATAGGATCCTGTTAGTCCATTTTTGCTTTGGTTGCCTGTGCTTGAGGTTGATTCCTCAATAAATCTTTGCCAAATCCAATGTCCTGGATAGTTTCTCCAGTATTTTCTTCTAGTAGTTTGATGTCTTAGATTTAAGTCTTTAATTCATTTTGATTTGATTTTTGTATAGAGAAAGAGATAGAGGGTCAACGTTCATTCTTCTGTGTATAGATATCCAGTTTTCCCAGCATCTTTATTGAAGAGACAGTACATTCCCCAATGTTTGTTCTTGGCACCATTGTCAAAAATGAGTTTACTGTAGATGTATGGATTTATCTCTTGGATCCGTATTCCATTCTACTGATATATTTGTCCATTTTTCTTCCAGTACCATGTCATTGTGGGTACTGTATCTCTGTAGTATAATTTCAAGTAAGGTAATATGATTCCTTCAGTTTTTTTTTTCTCCTTTGTTTAGGATAGCTTTGGCTATTCTAGGTCTTTCATGGCTTCATATAAACTTTAGAATTTTTTCTGTTTCTGTGAAGAATTTCATTATTTTTTTAACGGGAAATACAATAAATCTATAAATTGCTTTGGGTAGTATAGATATTTTAACAACATTGATTCTTTCAATCTATAAACATGGAATATCCTTCCATTTTTGTGTGTTGTCTTCAGTTTCTTGCATCAATGTTTTATACTTCTTACTGTAGAGATCTTTGACTTCTTTAGTTAATTTCTAGAAATTGTATTATATTGCAGCTATTGTAAATAGGGTTATTTTCTTGATTTCCTTTTCAGATTGTTTGCTGTTGGCATATAATTAGAGCTGAAGAGAAAGATAGACCTCAATTTAAAAAAATATCTGGAGATGTCAACACCCTGTTTCATCATTCTATAGGTCATCCAGACAGAATATCAACAATGAAATATTAGACTGAATCAGCCCTACAGACTAAATGGACCTAATAAATATTTACAGAACATTTCATCTAATGGCTTCAGAATATTCATTCTTTCCCTCAGTACCTGGACCATTCTCAAGGCTAGAAATCCTACTTATTTTTGTTCATTGAATGGTATCCTGCAACTTTACTGAATTTATTTATTAGTTCTAATTGTTTGTCTTGGTAGAGTCTTGAGGTTTTTTCAAGTATAAGATTATATCATCTGCTAACAAGGATAATCTGACTTCTTCCTTTCCAATTTGGATGCCCTTTATTTCTTTCTCTAGCATGTTTGCTCTAGCTAAGACTTCCAGTCCTATGTTGAATAATAGGGGTGCAAGTGGGCATTCTTGTCATGTTTCTGACCTTAAAGACTTTCACTTTTTCTCCATTCAGAATAATACTAGCTATGAGCCTAATAAAAGCCAGGTGTGGCTTTCATTATGTTGAGATATGTTCCTTCTACTCCTAGTTTTTTGAAGGTTTTTATCATGAAAGGATGTTGCATTTTATCAAATGCTTTGCAGCATTAATTGACATCATATGGTTTTGTCCTTATTTCTGTTGATATGATGTGACACATTAATTGATTTGTATATGTTGAACAATCCTTGCATCCCTGGGATTAATCATACTTGGTCATAATGAATAATCTTTTCATTATCTTGTTGAATTTGGTTTGCTAGTATTTTGCTAACAATTTTTGCATCAATATTCATCAGGGATATTGGCCTGTAGTTTTATTTTTTAATTATTTTTGAGGTGTCTTTTTTTGGTTTTGGTTTCAGAGTAATACCAGTCTTGCAGAATGCATTTGGAAGTATTCCCTCCTCTTCTATATTTTGAAATAGTTTGAGTAGAATTGGTATTAGTTCTTCTTTAAATATTTGGTAGAATTCAGCAATGAAACCATCAAGTCCTGGGCTTTTCTTTGCTGAGAAACTTGTTATTATAGCTTTGATATTGTTACTTGATATTGGTCTGTTTAGGTTTTGAATGTCTTCATCATTTAATCTTGGTAGGTTCTGAGTGTCAAGGAATTTATCCATTTCCTTTAGATTTCCCAATATATTAGCATATAGTTGCACATATTAGCCACTAATGAGTCTTCGAATTTCTGTGATATCAGTTGCTATTTCCCCTTTTTCATCTCTTAATTTATTATTTGGATCTTCTGTATTTTTCTCTTAGTCTCACTAAAAGTGTGTTAATTTTCTTTACTTTTTCAAAAAAAAAGTTTTTGTTTCATTTATCTTTTGTATTGTTTTCTTCATTTCAAATTCATTTATTTCTGCTCTGATCTTTATTATTTCTTTTCTTCTACTAATTTCATGTTTGGTTTGCTCTTGCTTTTCTAATTCTTTACAATGCAGTTAGGTTGTTTATTTGATGGTTTTCCTGTTTTTTGATGTAGGCCCTTACAGCTATTAACTTCCTTCCTAGTATTGCTTTTGCTGTATCTCATAGGTTTTGGTATATTGTGTTTCCATTATAATTTGTTTCCAGGAAATTTTCAATTTTCTTTTTAATTCTTCATTGACCCACTGGTCACTCAGGAGTATATTGATTAATTTCCATGTGTTGGTATACTTTCAAAAATTGCTCTTGCTATTGATTTCTAGTTTTATGCCATGGTGTTTAGAGAAGATACTTGATATTATTTCAGTTTTTTGGAATGTCTAAAGACTTGTTTTCTGGCCTAATATATAATCTAGCCTTGAGAATGGTCCAGGTACTGAGGGAAAGAATGAATATTCTGAAGCCATTAGATGAAATGTTCTGTAAATATTTATTAGGTCCATTTAGTCTGTAGGGCTGATTCAGTCTAATATTTCATTGTTGATATTCTGTCTGGATGACCTATAGAATGATGAAACAGGGTGTTGACATCTCCAGATATTTTTTTAAATTGAGGTCTATCTTCCTCTTCAGCTCTAATTATATTTGTTTTATATATCTTGGTGTTCCAGTGTTGGGTTCATATATAATTACAATTGTTACATTCTCCTGCTGAATTGACTCTTTATTATTATATAGTGACCTTCTTTGCTCTTCTAATAGTTTTTGTCTTGAAAACTGTTTTGCATAAGTATAATTATTCTTGCTCTTTTCTGATTTCCATTGGCACAGAATATCTTTTTACATCTTTTTACTTTCAGTATATATGTGTTTTTATAGGTGAAGTGAGTTTCTAGTAGGCAACTGATCATTGGGTCTTGCTTTTTATCCATTTGACCATTCCGTCTTTTGATCTGAGAGTTTAGTCTATTTACATTCAATGTTATTATTGATGAGTAAGAACTTACTCCTGCCATTTTGTTATTTTTTATTGTTTTGTGGTCTTCACTTCTTTTTTTTCTTCCCTTCATGTCTTTCTTTTAGAGAAAGTAATTTTCTTTGGCAGTATGATTTAATTTCTTGATTTTTATTTTTTGTGTATCTGTTGTAAGTTTTTTGATTTGAGGTTACCATAAACCTCGCAAATACTATGTTAGGACCCATCACTTTAACCTGATAACAAGTTAACACTGTTTGTATAAAAAATAAACAAGCAAATAAACTAATAAAAATTGTACATGTTAGCTTTATTTTCCCAGTGTTTAACTTTTGTTGTTTCAATTTATATTTTATTGTATTGTCTATGTCTTGAAAAGTCATAGTAGTTATTTTTGATTGGGTTATTGTTTAGATAAGAATAGTTTAGAAACTACAGTTACACTGTTGTACTATTCTGTGTTTTTCTCCATACTTACTATCATCAATGAGTTTTGTACCTCTGGTAATTTCCTTTCACTTATTAACATCTTTTTTTTTTCTGATTGAAGTACTCTCTTTAGTATTTCTTGTTGAATAGTTCAGTTGTTGATGAAATCTCTCAGCTTTTGTTTGTCTGGGAAAGTCTTTATTTCTCCTTCATATTTGAAGTATATTTCCTGTGGATATATTATTCCAGGATAAAGAGTTTTTTTGTTTGTTTGTTTTCCTTCAGCACTTCAAACATGTTATGCCACTCTCTCCTGGCCTGTAAGGTTTCCACTGAAAAGTCTGCTGACTGATGTATTGGAATGGCATTGAAAGTTATTTGTTTCTCTTCTCTTGCTGCTTTTAGAGTTCTTTCTTTATCCTTGACATTTTGGAATTTGATTATTAAATACCTTGAGGTAGTCTTCTTTGGGTTCAATCTTTTTGGTGTTCTATATCCTTCTCATACTTGGATATTGATATCCTTCTCTAGGTTTAGGAAGTTCTTTGTTATTATCCCTTTGAATGTACTTCTACCCCTATCTCTTTCTCTACCTCTGCTATTAGGCCAATAACTCTTAGATTTTCCCTTTTGAAGCTGTTTCCTAGATAAGATAGGCATGCTTCTTGGCTTTCTTTTTTCTTTTGTATTTTCTATGTATTTTTAAGTAGCCCATGCTCAATCTCACTAATTTTTTCGTCTGCTTGACCAGTTTTGCTAGAAAAATATTCTGATGCCTTCTTCAGTATTTCAATTGAATTTTTCAGTTTCAGAATTTCTCCTTTAAACCTTTTAATTATTTTAATATCTGTGGCAAATCTATCTGATAGAATTCTGAATTCCTTCTGTGTTATCTTAAAATTTCATTGAGTTTCCTCAAAACAGCTGATTTGAATTCTCTGTCTGAAAGGTCACATATGTCTGTTCTCTAGGATTGGTCCCTGGTACTTTATTTGGTTCATTTGGTGAGTTCATATCTTCCTGGATGATCTTGATTATTGTGTATGTCCATCTATGCCTGAGCATTGAAGGGTTTGGTATTTACTGTGGTCTTCACAGTCTGGGCTTGTTTGTACCTGTCCTTCTTGGGAAAGCTTTCCAAATATTCAAAAGGAATAAGGTGTTGTGTTATAAGTTGTGTTTCTATTGGGGGCCACCCCAAGCCCAGTTATCCTGTGGTTCTTGCACAGTCATAGAGGTACCACCTTGATCGTCTTGAATAAGATCCAGAAGAAATCTATAGATTGCCAGGCAGACACTCTTATTCTCTTCCCTTACTTTCTCACAAAAAAATGTTTCTCTCTCTTTCTGAGCCACCTGCAACTGGGGATGAGGTGACACAAGCACCCCTGTGGTCACTGGGACTGTGCTGGGTCATACCTGAAGCCAGGATCTTGCCCAACACCTGCTGAAACAACTACCTGGCTACCTGGGCAGTTATTTCCCCCAGGCCCCAGGTTATTCATGAGGTGCTAGCCACGAACCAGGGACTGGAGTCAAAATGTTAGCAGTCTATCTATTGTCCTATTGTGCTATGGATGAGCTGACAAACAATGAGATGCAGTTTTTCTCACTTTTTTTCTCCCAGTTCCACAGGCAAAGGAGCTTTACCCACCACCGCAGGCCCACAGGGAGTACTGCCAGCCTACCGCCAATGTTCCCTTAGGGTCCAAGGGTTCCTCAGTCAGCTTGTGGTGAATGCTGCCTGGCCTGGGATTCATCCTTCAGGCTGAGGTCTCCTCTCTGACCCAGAGAAGGTCCAGAAATGTCTTCCAAAATCCAAATCCTGGCTTTGGAAATCCCAAGAGCCTCCTTGGTGCTTCATCCCACTGTGGACAATCTGGTACCTAAGGCGCAAGACAAAGTTCCCTTCCTTTTCTATCTATTGTCTCAGGCAACGGTTTTTGCTCATAGCCACCACAGCTAGGAATATGCCAAGTTTCATTTGAAGTCAGTTTGTCTCAGTTTTACCCAAGGTCCATGGCGTACTATTTAGGGGCCAAGGGCACTTTAGCCTGCAGGCAAAGAATTCTGCTAGGACAAAGTCCTTTTCCTAAAGGCAGTGGGCTCCCTTCTGGCCAAAGTGTATCTAGAAATGTCATCTGGGAGCTAGGGCCTGGAAAAGGGGCCTTATGACTCTGCCTAGTGCTCTATCCTAATGTGGCTGAGCTTGTATCCAAGATGCAAGACAAAGTTCTCTTTATTCTTCCTTCTCATCTCCTCAGTTGAAAGGTAGGCATCTCCTTTGGAGGCATGAGCTCTGAAGCCTGGGTTTGGAAAAGGGGTGACATAGCACTCCTTCATCCACCCTGTTTGATGCCTCAATAGTCACATACCACCCACATCCTCTGGCTCTGAGCCCAATTCAGCAGTAGGACTCATCTAGGACTTGTAGTCCTTGTGGCCTAGACTGCATTTGAAGTTTATTTAGGTCCCAGTGCACTTTTGACCATGGTGGCAGGTCTTGCTCAAACTCAAGTTCTGACTGCTGAGGTAAACAATTTCCCTCTGGCTAGAGCTGATTTAAATACTCCCTCTGTGGGCAGGCATCAACTGATTTCAGCTTAGTTTTGCTTTCTACCATGACAGGGTAAGTTCAATGCAATGTCTCAGAATCCCTGTCCTCTCCCTCTCTCACACACACATTCTCTTTCCATGCCATGCAGCCACTGCTGGGGTGTTTGGGGCAGGTGGCATCAGTGATTCAAGACTCTTCAGATCAAGCTAACATAGCCATCACTTCACATACTTGTCATTTATTTGTGATACAAATATTTAAAATTCATTCTTTTAGCAATTTGGAAACATACAATACACTATCATTAACTATAGTCACCATGCTGTTCAATCAATCACTAGGACTTATTCTTTCTAACTGAAACTTTGTACCCTTTTACCAATACTCTCCTTTCCTGTACTCTCCTCTCCCCCTTAGCATCTGGTAACCAACATTCTAGTCTCTACCTCTATGAGTTCCATTTCTTTACATCCCACATGTGAGATCAGGTGGTATTTGTCTTTCTGTGCCTGGCTTATTTCACTTAGCATAGTATCCTCTAGATTCATCTGTGTTATCTCAAATGACAGAATTTCCTACTTTTTAAAGGCTAACTATATATACACAATGGAACACTATATATGTGTGTGTGTGTGTGTGTGTGTGTATATTTATATATACAAAACACATTTTTATTCCATTCATCTATTGATGGGCACTTCGATTCTTTCCATATCATGGCTATTGTAAATAGTGCTACAATGAACATGTGAGTACACTTATCTTCTTGATGTACTGATTTCACTTTCTTTATGGATATATTATAACCAGTAGTGTAAATTTGCTGGGTCATATGGCAATTCTATATTTAGTTTTTGAGGAGCTTCCATAATGACTATAATAATTTAACATTCCCACCAACAGTGCACAAGAGTTATCTTTTCTCCACATCCTTGCCAACACTTATAACTAATCACCAGGAAAGTGTGAGTTAAACCATAACTAAATATTACCTCAAACTGGTTAGAATGGCTATTCTTAAAATATTTAAATTTTTCTTAGCTTTTCCATTACAAAAATTTTTCTAAAATATTTTAAATTTAAAGAAATTCTTCAAAGTGTCTGGTGTGTATTACAGTTAATATTGGCTACATTTTAAGAGATGGTTAACACACTATTTCAGAAATAATTGAATATTTAAAGTCAAAATAGAGTAAGCTGTATATCCTGAATTTCAAAAATATGGAATTTATTATATTAATATAAGAAACCTTTATATGTAACATATCTAAATGTCTGTAAATTTTATTTAAACATTATTTTAAATAGCAATTATTGAACCTTAAATAGTAGAAGAGACATTATGACTAATTACTCAGCTGTCCCACATTCTTATCCAGATGAATAAACTTGGGAAAGCTTTGGCATTATTTCAGTTGGGAAGGGTGTGAATGACACTATTTAGCTGTTTAGTGATGTTATGAGAGACGATGATGGTGCACAGTCTTTAGGTAAGAATTGGGAACCATTTTACGTTGAGCTTATTGCTCTAGAGAAATGAAATCCCTACCATCCCCACATCCCTCTTTGTGGCAATACTGCTCTGCAACCCATGTATTGCCTGTGATTCTTGCTGCTCAGGGCTTAATGTCTGCTAGTGAGGAACTGCCTTTTTCTAGCCTTTAGTGGCTAAAGTACTCTGGAAAAAGACAATAGGTATATAAAACAAAGATGGAAGACAATGAGAATGTAAGACAAGAGTGAAATATCTGGGTTTCTACAGAACAAATGATTTAGTAATATTAGTACATTTCCTGAATGCCCTATAATGCCAAATATCTATAGTGAGGAAGCATTAGTCACCTTTTCGTTTATTATTTGCATTTCTTACATAGTAAAATACTTTTATACAGCAAGATAATTCTGGAATACATGGATACTGTGAAACACGTATACTCTTATATGTGTTTTGCTAGCATCCTAAAAATATTTCCATGTTCTGTTTGGGTTTTGATTCCCTAAAATAATAACTCTGCCTGACTGCTGAGGATGTGGTATGCTCAGGTCATTTTCCTACAAGGGAAGCTGCTAAAGATAAAGTGGATCACAGGGTGATGATGAAAGGACACAGTTATATTAGCATCCCTTAGGTCAAACTCTGTAATGTGTAGATCAAACTCTGTTTTCTTCTTTCATAGACCTTGCAGCAGGAAAGTTGACCATAGATAAAATATCTCTCAATTAAATTTTGTTTTTTGTTTTCTGTTTTAGATAAGGTTTGGAGGGAGTAATCTCTCGGAGAAATCATTTGAAAATGGATGTTATTTCCAAGACTTTTAGATCTTCTGAACTACCATTATAATTATTCTGTGATCACTCCAAAAATTACTTATTGATGCTAGGTGAATACAAACTCTATGCTGGGCAACACTATGAGGAAGAAACAGTTCAGAATATAAGAGGAAATATACATTTATAAAATATAGTATTAGACATCAGTATCAGATATTACTATCAGAGTATGAGTCTCCCTTTCAGAGTCATTTAAACACGAAATATTTATTGAGAACATTCATGTGCCTAAAGCTTTTTCAGAATTTAGGGTATCAAGGATTCCCCATACATAACCTCTAAAATTCATAACGTTATAGAATAGTGGGAGGGTATAGGAGAATAATTAGAGACTGAGAAAAGGATTACAGGAACCATACAAACACAACCACCCTATCATAAAGGCTACCATAATTACATCTATTTTACAGGTGAGGAACATGAGAAATAAAAGGAAGGTAACTTGCCCAAGGTCACTGGGCTACTAAATACCTGAGGTGAGCCGAGCAGTTTAGTTTCAGATTGTGCAGTCTTGACCATTAAGCCATACTGCCTTCACAAGGATGAAACAGCATGCAAGCTGGGGAGTGGAGAGAGACAGAATTGTTGATAAAAGATCTTGAAGAGTCTTGTGAGCATAAAAAGGGACTTTGAATTTTGCCATAGTATCAGAGAAGCTATTGAAATCTTAGAACGACAGTTTTGTTATGCAACAAGCAGAAAAGCTACCCAAAAGAAGTGATATCCAAACTGAGCTTTCAAGGTTTAAGGGGGATAGAAAACAGGAATGCTTAGTATTTACAAATGAAGTAGTGATAAACTCCAACAGACAATACCCATAATAAGGAAGGGCAAAGGAGACCTATATCACCATCTTGATGTTCCATAGTATGGAATCCACAGAGGGACAATAACCCATGCCAAGTTCCCCCAGTTCTCCTATGATGCTGGAGCCCTACGTAAAAGAATTTGTTCCCATGGTTGTAGTTCCAGGAAAGTGAGAGAATATATAGAATATATTGGTTCTGTGACCCTAGGTGTGTGATGCCTTGTTTGCATGTGTGTGTGCATGTTTGCATGAGCAGCCATGTATGTGATTCTATACCTATAAATTGCTGAAAGCACAAAACTCCACAAAGCTAAATAAATAAATTCAAAGGACTTGTGCTTTGAGGGTTCTGAAATATTCACCTCTCCTCACTCAAATAATTTTAATCATTTTAAACACAGTTAACCATTTTAAAAATATTTAACACAAAGTCTTTTGTTCTTTTTTATTTTTTGTATTTTTGTATTTTGTGATTGGTAAAATGAGCTTGGCCCCAAGGGCAAATGGCTCCATTTGCTACTCTCCTTTATCCCAAGTCTGGCTTATAGGAAATGCCTCTGTAGGGATTTGGTACTGGAGGGAAAACACACACAAATATACAGGTAGTTCGATGAAGAAGCAGAAATTATTAACAAATCTGTTGTCTTTAGATAAGAAAAAATAGAGTTTAGAAGAGAAATTTCTCACACATACCTTTCAAATATACACATTTGTGTTTTGTTTTGTTGTTTGTTTGATTGATTTTGTTGTTATTTTATTACATAAGGCCACGGAGCTAGTAAAATAAAGACCCAATTTGATTTTGCAGTATATATTGAAAAAATTTTCTAATCTGTTTAATCCCTAAAGTTACCAAAGATGTAAAAGAAATTACGTACCTTTTGAATAGATAAATATTTATAAAAAGGGCATCCTGTTTGAGGGTTCTATCAAATGCATTAGAATGTCCAGAACAGAAAGATTTTTTTTTGTATACTTTAAGTTCTAGGGTACATGTGAACAAGATGCAGGTTTGTTACATATGTATACATGTTCCATGCTGGTGTGCTGCACCCATTAACTCGTCATTTACATAAGGTATATATCCTAATGCTATCCATCCCCCATCCCCGAACCCCACAACAGGCCCCGGTGTGTGATGTTCCCCTTCCTGTGTCCAAGTGTTCTCATTGCAGAACAGAAAGATTTTCTGTTACTTACAAATTTCCTGAAAGACATGTTTCCTTTCTCTTCTATGTTAAAACTTGTGTTTCTAAGTAATTAAAAAAAAAAAAAACTACATCCTTAGAAAAAGTTAAATTCAACTTCCCAAGCCATCATCTTTCTTATGAACATTTTGGTCACTAACCCCCAGCATCTCAATGACCTAGGTTAACGGTAAATTCCAAATTATGCAAAAAAAGAAAGCAAGAAATGTATTTTCTCACATCATTCAAGGTCATAATGTTGGACACAGAACCCAGAGTTAAAAAGTTCAGATTATTCAGTTTTACATTGGCAAATTATTGTATTCCTATTCTTATTTCCCTAACTCTTAAGCGTGGAGTTTAAAGATGTCATTAATATTTAACATTCTAATGAGACTTTTCTACAACTTCACTAACTTTCAAAAAAGGTTTTCTCCAAGTAATTGAAACACAAGGTAAATTTTGTTTTCAAACTGCATAGTAAATAAACTAATAGTAATAATGCCATAAAAAGTTCTTACCTGATGTTTTTAGGCAACCAGATATTTTTAGTATTATGTCTATTGAAGTTTTATACTACACTACTTTCCAATAATCTGAAATGTGTCAGGAGTATAACTTACTTTGAAAATGAAGAATGTATTTTGAAACATGTCATAATTACCATGCATATTAATGCAGTCCTCTTCATTGCATTTTAACTATAATGTTGCTGTTGAATGATGAAGATATTTATGTACATATTAAAATACAGACATTCAAAGTAAGTTTTGCAACACAAGAAGTCATTTTTGCTAAAAAAAAAAAAAAGGAAACTGAACACAGTTCTATATTAAATGAGATTAGGTTTTAATCCTTAATTTTGTTAGATGTGATAATATTATTAGTATATATGAAAGATAGGTATGTTGTTGTTATTGTTAAAACATTATATATTTTTATTAATATGTAAGAAAAAAGGTTAATATAGAAGAAAAAACATATTTGTGTATTAGAGATAAATATTTGTATGATGAAATTATTGGTTTGGCATTTACTTTAAAACACTCCAGAAAAGAAGTTTTAAGAGAAATAATTGAGACAAAAATTGTAAAATATTCATAATTATTATAACTGAGTTGTAACTTACATATGATTAATTAGTTATTTCCCTTCTTTTGTGTATGCTTGAAACTTTCTGTAATAAAAAATAACAAATTAAAAATAATCAGTTTATTATTTAGTCTAGAGAAAATTGAGGTTTCACCATCAATATAATATTCTTCTTATTTTAATTTTGGTGATTTTCTCCATTTCAATACAAAAGAGATGTTGTTCCATTAGTAGTGAATATCCTCGTTTTAATGGCTAAGTAATTTTTAATGAAATTAAATATTTAAAGTTGAATAACGATTTATTCAATATTAATATAGATAAAACAGTACACTTTCAAATACTAGTAAATTTAGTAGTTATCATAAACTACTACTATAGTTAGTATAATGTCAAGATAAAGTGAACTTTTACTTAGAGGTATAAATTGATACTTTCTTTAATCTTCTTCATGTGAAAAGTCAATCTCTCGGCAATTTATGTTTGCTCTCACCTTGTTCGTTTATTATCATTTGAGTCATATTTTAATATCACTTAAATATTTGTGAATAAAAATCATATATTTCCTGGAAAATTTTTAAGTGTAGACTGAAGAAAAATATGTCAGACATAATATCAAAGACATAAAGATGTACTGATTCTGAGGCAAATAAGATAGTCTCCCAATGAAATTAACTAGAAAAATATAACCACACACATAAGACTATACTCATTTATCTGTTTAATTTGTAAACATATTAAATGAAATATAAGAAATTAAATAAAGAATGGAAACTTCTTAGGAATGGCAGATAATTTAACAATGCAGAGAAATTAGCCATTTTTTTAGAATTGTAAAGAGCAACAAAATATAAAATTATATGTGACACTTGTGGTTAAAAATACTTTACTTTTATTAGTTTATTTTTTATTCAGAAACATAAAAGGAAAATAACACTATAATACATAGTTATGCTAGTAATAATAATATCATCATTAAATGGGGTTGTGTGGTCATTGTATTTGGGTTGTATGTTTAGTCCGCAAACTGTTATGTGGACTCATACACACTTCTTTGAACCCTATGTTGTATCAGCTTTGCACCAAACAGAATTATAAACCAAAGACATTGGAACAGTTAAAAACTGGAAATTATATACATGACTCAAAGACTGACTCAAGCTTCTTGAATTTCCATCATAAAGGGACAGGGAAATACAGTCTATTTTTACCTGTTCTTCCATAGTTACCTTCACATATCTCCATCACAATAGAGTTATTGGAAGGGGTATTAGAGAGAAATGCAAAAGTCTGGTGGGAGATCTGTATCTTCTGTGTCACACCTCTCAAATGCTCACTTTGCTGAAGGGTGCAAGTAAAAGTTTTTTCAGACATCCCCGTGGAGCTTCAGCTCTGGACAATACCTTAATTGGGCTACACCTTACTCCATGGGCCTCTTGTGACAGTGCCCCAATGAAATTCCCTGCCTGCAATGCATCTCACAGCCCCTTAAGCTGGGTCTTCTTGCCCTCAGAGACAATCTCTTGGGCTTGTATATTTCAAGACAGCTGAACCAGACCACGAGATGTATAGATTGCTTCACCCTTTCCTAGAACAGGCAGGTGAAGTAATGTTTGTCCCTTGATTAAACTCTAGTCATCCTCTGATTTCCAGATGCTGCATCCACAATTCAAATTTAAGTTTCTCCAATAAGAAAGCAAGGTTTAGCCTTCAACTGTGATCATCTACACTTCCAGGTAAACTTTGGGAGCCTTCCAAGGACTTTCTACCTACACTCAGTGCAGGAGGGAAAGGCTGTGAAATTTGGTAGGTCAACAAATATCAAGTACTTTCTAAAGACAGAGTCCTTAGTGAGTGTTTCACAACACTTGCTTTCCTCCCATTCGCTCTGGGGGAAGGAAGGAAGAAAATACAAAGAACTTACTTTTGATATTACTAATATTACTAACATTTTCACATTAGTTTCTATTTCTAATTTCTTATGTGTATGTTAAAAGTGGTCATGCATAATTGGTAATCATTCCAGGCATGTTTGACAATATTTTAAACAGTATTAAGATAATGTAGCTGGTAGTGCCCTTTAAAAATGTGTGGGTACTTAGCAATCTGTTGTCTTCAGCCTTGAGGTTTCACAGAACTCAGAGGATAGAAAAGTTCATCTAATGTTAGTTCCATATTTTTAGTTTGTATATGCCATGTATAGATGCACAATGATATACATGTGTCTAATTGTGAGGAAGAATATATGTGTGGGTGTTTGAAGAGTATAGAGGAGTTTAGAAATGTGTTGATGTGGGAAGACTATGGGCTTCCATTCAAGTCCTTTTCAGAAAGCTTGCTTATATGAGACATTTAATTGAAATTATTTCTTTCTTGCAAAACATATAATACTGACTACAGAGGTATTTGTGATGAATTAATAACTTTTGAAAAATTTCTTTATATACATTCTACAACATAGTAGGTGCTCAAATAATTTTAGTCTCCTAGTCTATGATGTACATTGGTAGCCTTGGAGATGAGATAAGTAGTCACAGAAGCACATCACAGGTGCATCAGTATTGATAATCTATTTACAAATTACTGGAGATAGGCTCTAAAAGTATTAGAGGGCTATCTCAGGATGAAGAGAAATAGAGGGGAGAGGTCTTAGAAAGATGCCAGAGATTACATTAGTATTCCTGCTTTTCTTTTTTTATTGTGATCTGTTTTTATTAACGATTTCATTAACAAGCTCTTCAGCTTTTTGATTCACTTTTCTCTTGCCTTCTTCTTTATTTCTTCTTCTTTATCATTGTCTAATTTTAGTTTACCATGCTTATGGTAACTAGAATGTTTTTATAAGTTTCAAAAAGAAGCAGAGTTCCTGACCATTCTGGGAAGTGCCAAACATATCGCTGTCTACATCAACATTGTCTCTTGGGGTTTTATGCAGAGTTTAACAGCTAAACATGGTTGTGCCAGCACAATATACTGTAAATACAAAAATAAAAATAAAACATAAATACACACACAAAAGAAAAAAATAAAAAGATATTAAATAGGTGAATGAATAGTGTACTCAGAGAATAAAGCAGATCTCTGCAACAGGCATTAGGAGAATAGTTCCAAATAAATATTTGAAGGATAAGTAGGAATCAGTCATGGAAAAGTGCAAAAGAATAGCTACCATTGAGTACAGGAGAAGAGAAAAATAGAATATATGTTACAAACCATAAGTATTCTATTGTGTTTAGAATTTTGAAATTAATCTATAATAGCAGTCATTAAGAGAAAAGAAAAACAAAACCCAACAGAATTCCACATATCCAAAGAAAAGCTAAGATCTTACTTTTTTCCAAAAACACTCTGATGTAGGAAATGATACCAAATTTTACCATGATAAGCCTAATAACATGTGAGTTTATAAATTGTCAAAGATCACATAGCTAATAAGCGAGGGATCTAGAAGAGAAACTTCCAGAAAAGGGCATAAGGAGAAGTTTGAAAATTGTGTCCAAGGAAATGGTGAAGCATTGAAGAAAAACAAGCTGAGAAGAAATGTATTTTATGTGCACTTTGGAAGGAATGCTTTGTAGACAATGTGTGGAATATATTAAGGGGATAAATTAGAAGTAAGAAAACCACTTAAGAAGCTTTAACATGAGTCTTACAAGAAATGATGAGAGCATGAACTAAGGTAATCACAGTGGGGCTTAGGAAATGAATTTGAAATATCTTATTTTTTAGCTAATTATGTATTATGAGAAAGAGAGGATTAGAAAGAGTCTGGGGTGCTTCTCACATTTCTGGCTTGCAGGCCTTGAGCAGTATTGCCATTGATTAAGTCGGATATTGTTAGGGGAAGAAAAGATTTAAAAGAGGTATGTTGCAGAATACCCACCCATCAGTGGCTATTAGCAGTAGTGGCAGCAGAGGTAGATGATCCAGAAGAGAGTAGCTGTCTCTAAATCAAGAGAAGAGAGTTTTCATGACTGACCAAGAGACATGTTTACTCTAAAGTATCCATTGTTTGGGGGAAATAACTCACAAATGACTGTGGCAAAGTTTCTATTGTGTGTCCAGATTTCATGGGTTAAGAAATTGAGTGTGAAGAAGGCTTCCATAGCAACTTCTTTTCTTAGTAACAGTTAAGAAAAGGCAACTTATTTAACTTAAGTTACAGGTGAGTTTTGCTTCAGACTGAAAGAATTTAGTAATATGTGCAGTTTGAAGGTAAATGAAAAATATGAAATAGAGATTGAAGCCACAGCAGGTGGAATGATAGAGTTGAACCAAGGTCTCACAATGGGTAAGAAAGTATGAGTTTCCAATGAAAGGTTATAGAATAAACCTCTTACAGGAGACGTTAAGATGTGGGAATGAGGTAATAATTACGCAGCACATGAAGTATAAATAGAAACTGGAAAGTTGAAGGTTTTAAACTATTATCTGTGAATAAAAATGAAACAATTATAAGGAAGGCATTTAAGAATATAGTTCAAATTTCAACCTAACTGCTGTGACAAAGCAAATGAAAATATTAAATTGAAAACATTGTGCAGAAACCTACAAAACTTGGATGAAAGAAATTAAAGAATATATGAAAATCGAGAAGTATATCTCATGTTCCTCGGTAATGATATCAGTTTTTATAACATATGATTCAGAGATTTAACGTGATATTCAGCAAGATCACAACAAGCTATTTTGTCAATATTGACACACTGATTCTAAAATCTATATGGAATGACTAAGGAGGTAGACTAGCCAACATGATACTAAAGAAGAAAAACGTTAAAGGACTTACACTATCCAATTTCAATAATTTCTTAAAAAGTACAATAATTTAGAGAGTGTGGTGTTGATGAAACAAGAACTGCAGGTCAACACAATAGTCCAGAAATAGAAGCATACTCATCTAGTCAACAGATCAGTAACAAAGGAGTAGAAGTAATCCAATCTATACCATCTGAAAATAAGACAAATTAGACAATCTGTCTTTTTAACAAATGATGATAGAATTACTGGATATGATTAAATGAATCAGGAAACAATCTTTACACAAGTTTACAAAATTAGCTTAGAAGGAGTCATAAACTTGTTATAAAACATAAAACAATAAAACGTCTAGACAAAAGCATAGGAGACAATCTAGGCGGTTGTGAGTTTGACAGTACATTTTTAACCATGAGAGGTATGATCCATAAAAGAAAAAATGGCAAGTTGACTTTTATTAAATTAAAAACATCTGCTCTGCAAAAGACACCATTAAGAGAATCTAAGGACAAGCCACAGATGAAATATATATTTGCAAAATGTGAATCTGACACTATACCATTATCCGAAATATAAAAAGAACACATACGTCTCAATAATATTAAAATAAACAATTCAATTTAAAAATTGGCAAAAGGTCTAAACACCTCACCAAAGAAGATATACAGATGGAAATAAGCATTTGAAAAGATGCACAACATAATTTGTCATTAGAGAATAGTAAGTTAAAACAGCAATGAGATACTTATACATAGCTGTTAGAATATCTAAAATTAAGCAAAAACAAACAAACAAACAATAAGTGACAATGCCAATAACTGGAGCAGATTCAGAGCAACAAGAAAGCTCATTCATTAATGGTACTGAACAAAGTTAGTTACTTTTTAAGATAGTTTGGTGGTTTCTTACAAAACTATAGTATTACCATAAAATCTAGAAATCATGCTTCTAGGTGTTTATTCAAGTGATTTGAAAACTTATCCCACAAAAATCCTGCAAGAGAATCTTTACTAGATTTATTCAAAATCACAAAAAACTGGAAGCAACCAAGATGTTTTTAAACAGGTCAGCAGATCAAACTACGGGTAAATTCCCACAATAAAACATTATTCAGTGAAAAAAGGAAATATGCTATCAAGAAATAAAATATTAAGCTATTAAGTTTTGCAAACAGAATAGCAGTATTATCACTCTTATATGCTGTGTGTGTAGCTTTATTATTCTGGGACCCAAGTTAACTGAGAGATGTCTTCAAACTCTTCTAGTAAGAACTTCCATTTTGATGAAGTACAAACTAAAAATTGATTATTAGGGAAAATATGTTTGGCAAGATTTCTTCATATATTAATTTGCTCTTTTTTTCTTGATTTTTCTCCTTACATTCTGGGCTTGAGTGTTTCCTGCTTCAGGGAAGAACTTTCTTACTGCTTGGAAATCAGCTTCATTCAGGGTCTTTGGTTTTTTTTTTGGCAGGTTAAGCTCCTTACTAAAGTAGGGGGAAGTGCTATTTGGTAAAATCCACAGACTAGAAACTGTATCAATACCCCAAGAAGATTAGATTCTGAGACTGACCCCCTAGAAGCAATATAATAAGGTCAAGAATAAATGATGGATATGGCAAAGATGGGGTATGCATAGAGAAAATGGACTGCTGTAAAGGGAACAAATCTGGTGCTTTAATTGTGTCTTATTACTAAAGTAACCCAGTTTTCAGATGCAAGCTAGGTCACAGTGATATTGCAGTACTGAACATTAAACGTGTTTTTGTCTACTTTTCAGGTGCTTTCCAAATTTCTTAGATTCTTATCTAACCCCTGAGCTGGGAAACCCCATCAACTAGCCACAAAATGACTAATATTAAATTTCTCAAGAGAACAAACACTTTCAATCATATTTTATTTAATTGTATTTATCATTTATTTAATTTTAGTAAAAAAGCAGAAAAAATATTTTATATCTGAGTTTGTTAGGTAATATTAATACTAGTGCGCCATGACAATAGGGTGCTTTTTTTTCTTTTGCCTCTCTCATCAGCGTTCCGTGACTTTTGCATTCATCTTTCCACCAATAATTCATAATGATGTTCTTTGTCATAATCACATGAACAACGTATAAGTTTGAAGTATGTGATACATCATTAAAATTATTTTAGATTTTATTTTTTAAATATAATTTATGTAAAGCATCATAATGTACTCAAACCCTTTGTTTTTTGAGACGGAGTCTCTCTCTGTCGCCCAGGCTGGAGTGCAGTGGCGTGATCTCGGCTCACTGCAAGTTCCGCCTCCTGGGTTCACACCATTCTCCTGCCTCAGCCTCCTGAGTAGAGTAGCTGGGACTACAGGCGCCCACCACCACGCCCGGCTAATTTTTTTGTATTTTTAGTAGAGACGGGGTTTCACCGTGTTAGCCAGAATGGTCTCGATATCCTGACCTCGTGATCCTCCCGCCTCGGCCTCCCAAAGTGCTGGGATTACAGGCATGAGCCACCGCGCCCGGCTCAAACCCTTTTTTGAGTCAGCATAATGTTGTTTTGTCTTTTCTGGGGAGGAGGCTGGCTTCTCACTCCCCATTTCTTCCTCATTATTTATTCTATCAACCCATGTTGACAAGCAACAACCTCTATTGTAATCTCCGTGCTCATGTAAGTATTTGCAGATGTATATGTGCACATATTTATATGCATGACCAGAGTGTTATTTTTACTAAAATGTAATCATACCTCCACCTTTCCGCATTCGTTTTACATTTTCTCACTCAACAATTGCCTCTGCAAATGTTTCTGGTAAATTTTAAATTTATAATTTTTAACTGAGTAATGTATATTGATTGGTATATAAAATCATTTCATAAATTTTATTGACAACCATTCCCTTTGTTTTGCAAGTTTTTGAAACTGTAAATCATACTACAATAAACATTTTGCGCATGCTAAAATATCTTATTTTTTACATTCCTGTGATTTCATTTCTAATAAAAAAATTTCCAAGAATGAGATTATTAGATTAAAAGGGTATGCCTAATGTTACCCTAAAAATATTGTTGAATTATATTTTGTAATTCATATGTATATGTATACATTTAGATTTACACTTAAACTGTTCTTATTAGCTTACTAATAACTAATTTCACTATTATAATTGCCACAGCTTGTAGGTCAGTTGTTGGTGAAACAGATCTGTTAATTACATGATAACTTCAGCATTAAATTGAATTTATAGAAGTCCTTTCTAAACTACCAATTTTTAATTTCCCTTAACATTCTGTTATTTTTAAAGGTAGAATTACATATTACCTGTCCAAAGTCGGTATTATGTTAAATATTCAAAGAAAAAAAAAAGACTTTTAGAGACTCATTTTGCTAGTAACTATTCTGAACGCTGAAATGGTTTCATTCAGTGAAATGTACACCTATCTTGCCATAATTAAATACAGCTTCCTTGGCTCTTGCTTCAAAAAGGATTCATTTTTAAAAATATAATGACCATTCTTATACAGAATACAAGTTATTAAGTCGCCCGCCAGCAATATTCTCTCAAGCTACCTAGTCATCATCCCTTTAAGCTTTTCATATCTTATAGTTCCAAGATTTGGATCATTAATTTTTCTCCCTTATGCATACATTGCATATTTTTCTACATCTTTTGGCCTTTAGACTTTCCATAAAAGTTAGATAATCTAGCCAAGTATCGCATAAGGCATTTTTACGTTTCCAAATGTTCTGATTCCAGTACTCAAAATAAAAATTTCTCTATCAACTGGAAGTAAGCTAATCATTTTTAAGAAGTGTATAATTTATTTTCATGAATCATTACTATATTCAATGAAATAAATAGAAAAAAGATCTCTTCCAACAAACCAAAGCTACTGAGTCTAGAAACTTCTGTGTAAATACTTGAAGGAACACACATTAAAAATAGAATAACAACTCTCTTCTTTCCCTTCTTTCCCTCTCTCAGTATTGCGATTCTCCAAAAGGTAGCTCACGGCTGTCCTCTCTCTGAACATTCTCCCTGGGTGTGCATATTTTTCATTGATGTGATTACCATGGTTATGCTCATGACTTCTTGATGGTTACCTTTTCATGCTTTAGAAAAGTCTTAACTATAATGAATATTTGAAAAAGTGTGTGAAAAATTGTAGAGTCCATGAATAATGTGATCTTTCCTCAAGGAATTTTTACTAAATCCACCAAACAGATAATTAGATTAGGGGCAATGTACCTCAATTTTCCCTCCTAGGCTTCCCAAAGCAGGAGATTACAATTATGAGCCACCTCACCCAGCAGACTCAATCCAACAGCATTTGTCTGATCTCTTTCCTGTTTTTTCCTGAACTTTTTGCATTAGGCCATCAGAGATTGAATTTAGAGTTTGAAATGTTGACCTTCTTAATAGCCTCTAAATTACAATTTTTGTCTCCTGAGAACCACTAGCATTTGGTATTTTCAGTTTTTTAAAAATATTTTATATTGATAGATCACTGTTGTTTCAATCTGAAGTTCTGTGAAAACACGATAATGAGCAAAGTTATGGTACAAATATGCTTCTTGTCTATGTGTATACTTTTTTGGTGACATGTTTTTCTGATCATTTTTATATTGTTAATTGGCGTGTTTTCTTATTTTTGAGTTTTAATAATTATTTTTATATTTTTAATTATCTTAATAGGATCATTGGCAGATTTAAAGTTTTAATTTTAATATAATCCAACTAATCAATTTTTTCATGGATCATGCTTTTGGTATTTTATCTACAAACTCATTGCCAAACTCACAATCTCTGTCTTCTAAGTTTTGTGTTTCTATCATTCACCTTTAAAGTAATTATTGATATAGTTGATTTTATATCTACCATGTTTATAAAAGTTTTCTACTTGTTGACCTTATTCTTTTTTATAAAAAAATTGTAATCTTATTTATTTTTGACCTTTTATTTTTTGCCTTCTCTGGTTTTAATTGAGAATTTTACATGATTCAATTTTCTCTACTCTCTTAGCATATCAATTTTACTTCTTTTTGTAGCTTTTAATTGATTGCTCTATACTTGAATTTACAACTAACCGAATCCCACTGTTAAATAACACTATTAACCCTTCACAAGTATTGCATATAGCTTATAACATACTATTTCCAATTCTTTCTTTCCATCCCTTATAATATTGCTATAATCATTTCACTTATTTATATACTACCATCACCCAATTCATTGTTACTATTATTAACAATGTATTGTTATTTGTTTATTATATGCAATGACTGTTATTATTATTTGTAAAGTTATACTATACAAATTACTATTCGTATGATCAAAGCAAATTCTCTTGGTTAAACTGTGTTCCTTGGATGTGAACTTAAGTTTCCCTGCTTTTCCTCCCTGAGGTGAGAAAGGAAGTCTAGTCAGAGACAAAGTTGTCTAACTTATCTTCCTTTGCAGACCATACATTTGTTGCTGAACACTTTGGGAGTATTTCACAATGGCTGCTATTCCCCTCACCCTGCCAGAAGTGGAAGGGTTTTTCTTGTATCTTTACCATCAAAACCTCAGGAGTAATAGGAGGTAAATTCCATAAAAGTATAGAGCTTTGTAAGACTGTGGCCCCAAGAAATTTTTATTCTTACAAGATTATATACCACCCCTAGTGATTTGTCAAAGTTACCATTCAGTCCCATCAGATCCACTAACTTCTGCTCCCTGTAAGCTGATTTTGGCTATGATTCTCTGTATTCTAGATTTTCAGCTGGTGTTTTTCCCTGTGACTTCAATTTTCTGAGTCCATAAAAAGTCTTTGATACTAGTGTTCTCCTTTCTTCTTGTTATAAGAACAGCAGTGATGACTTCCAGGCTCCTTTCATGTCAGAGCTGACTCCAGAAATTTTCCAGACTTACTTTTCTCATTTCAATGTGAGGCACTAATATTCGTCCACAAATATATAGCACACTTTTAAAAAAATACAATAGAACAAAGTATACAATTTTTTTAATTGCCATTTGGAACCTCTGCATCCAAATTTTCTACATTACTACAGTGATGCTGTGAAAAACCAGAGGAAATTAGCTAGTAGACATGCAGGCAAACAGAGTACAAGTAGAAAGTAATAAAAAGTTCCATGAGGCTGAAGTCAGGTATCTGATTAAAAACAAAACAAAACAAAAGCAAACCAAAAAACCCCCAAAAATATTAGTGTGCTACAATAAAATAAGAAAAATAATATAGATAATATTGGATTAAAAAAATCAAAAAAGTAAATAAGTGTTTTTATTTGGTAGTTTTTGGAGTTAAAATACATACATGATAAAAACACAAAATAAATTTAGAACTTGTGTCAAATGGTTCGTCAAATGGATCCCCAAGATAACAAAATATAATGACATGAGCCATTTAAATAGTATACCTTCTATATTTTTATTTTTAAAAAACCTATCTCTTTTACATGATGGCTCATCGAGTTAAAAATGAAAAACAAACTAAAAGTGCAAACAATTATTTTTCTGTTAAATTCAATACATGTTTATTTTAGTTTTTGAACGTATTGTCACCATTATTTGATATTAATAATTAAGCACAAACATTCTAACACACTTTCTCTTACTTGTACTCATAAGTTCTCACTTGATTGAAGACTAACCAGTGATGTTGGTTAAAGCAATTAAAAATATCTCTCATCACAGGATTGATATTTATAATATTTATACATATGTAAGAGTATTTTGGGATCATTAATTTAATCCAGGATTTAACAAGCAGTGCATGAAATGCAGATAATGGTGAGAAATTAAGTAAAATAAAACACTCTTAAGCTATCAAAAAAATGATTTTTACTGTTCGGCTTCATATAATTGCTACTGTAATTGCTTTTAAATAAATGACAAAAAGTCTGGATATTTTTGGTTTATAAATATATCAATCTTTTTAGCACTATATGGGCAAAGTAAGTTCTATCCATTGGCTGCATTTGGATCGAAGCCAAACATTTTGAACATCAGAATACTAACTGGTATTAGTCTTAATAAAATCATATTTATTAATTAATAAAATTATATAAACAAATAAATATACCTTTTACATAGATAATTTGGGATTCAGAAGTAATTTCCAACCCAATACAAAAAACGTCCAGAATTTATGAAGCAATCTTTTCCAACTGTGGTAGGCATTACTGATATTTATTGACATCTGTCTCTCAATTTTCTTTGAATAGACACAAAATCTAATTTCCCAGATACTTATATTTTTCACAGGAGTAGTCCTTGTAACTAAAACATGACTGACAGGTGTGTGTATTATACATGGCCTGAGACTGAGACAGTTTACAAGTTAGTCACCAGTCTCTTTCCCTTACCATGGATAATGTAAAATGCCCATGTTTAGACAGTAGAGTAGGAAGATTTAAACAGCTTGGGGGTTGACCCTGGGCACTTACCAAAAACTGCAGAAGACTCTGGGTGGGCAAGAAATTAACATATGTTCTGAAAAGCTGTTGATATTTTAAGCTTGTTTATTATTGCAGCGTAAGCTTCCATAGTTGGGAAAATATAGCAACAAATAAAATGATATTTGTAAGACAACTGTTTTGACCAATTCACCCAGTCCACATTTTCCAGCATCCCATGTTATAGGAATAAGGAAGTTCTCTTACATAGGAGTAAATATCAGGCTTGTTCATTTGCAAGTAAAACCATTATGTGCATCAATGGAAAGTCAAATCAAAATTAGAAAATGTTTTGAAATGAGCAACAATGAAATTATAGCATGTCACATTCTATAGCCTTCCACTCAAGCAGTGTCTAAGGTATTTAAAGATAACTTTCAATAAATTGATAAATTCAAGCAGTGTCTAAAGATAAATTGAAACGAGAAAAGCTAACATTTGTAAACTTAAGGTTCTATATTAGAAATAAATTAGGAAAATATAAAAATGAACTTAGCAAAAGTAGAAGAAAATAAACAATAAACAATCTATTCTATGGATGTAAATCAATTGAACATACAACAAACAGAACCAAAAAGACCAATGTTGCTTCCTAAGACGAAGAATATAATTGGTCTATCCATAGCTAGTCTGATGAAAGAAAGAAGAGAGAAAGAAGAGAAGAGGAAGAGAACAAGTGCGGAGGGTGTTTCAGAAGGAAAAGAGGGAGAAAGAAGTGAGGGAGGAATGTAAGAAGCAAGGAAAAATTACCAGTATTACGAATGAAAGTAAAGAATCTCTACAGATCCTCCAGACTTTAAAAAGATGAAAGGATCTCATGATAGCAAAATAGAAAACCTGGCTAAAATACAACTTATTAATGTTTAAGAAATAAAGACAGATCTGAATAACTTATATAGATTAAATAGATTGAATTATTTGCTAAAATCCAACCTTAAAGAAATTTAAGTCAAGAGGTCTTTCAGTGGTAAAATACATTTTTTTAATTTTTAATTTTTATAGGTAGATAGTAGGTATATATATTTATGGGGCACATGAGATTTTTAATACAGGCATACAATGTGTAGTTACACATCAGGGTAAATAGGAATACATTATCTCAGTATTTATCATTTCCTCGTGTTAGGAACATTCTAATTATATTCTTTTCGTTCTTTTCAAATGTACTATAAATTATTGTTGACTGTAGTCACACTGTTGTGCCATCATTTACTAGATCTTATTCATTCTATGTAACTATATTTTTTCATCCACTAACCATCCCCACTTTACGTCTCCCCTCTCCATTGCCCATCTCAGCCTCTAGTAACCATAATATACTTAATAGAGTACTAGTCAGCCATAAAAAAATAATAAGATTCAGTCATTTGCAGAACGTGGATGGAACTGGAGGTCAGTATGTTAAGTGAAATAAGCCTGGGACAGAAAGAAAAATTTCACATATCCTCACTCATTTATCGGAGCTAAAAAATAAAACAATTGAACTCATAGCAGAATGATGATAACATATTTTTGAAGTTGAAGGTTTCATACATGACTTTTCCTAATTACATATTTATTATTCAAAAGCCTTCCAGATAATAAAAATGGAGAAATATTTTTAATTTTTATTTAAGACCACAATAATCTTTTTTCTTTTTTTCCTTTTTTAATTTTACTTTAAGTTCTGGGATACATATGCAGAATGTGCAGATTTGTTACATAGGTATACATGTGCCATGGTGGTTTGCTGCACCTATCAACCCATCATCTAGGTTTTTAGCCCCACATGCATTAGGTATTTGTCCTAATGCTCTCCCTCCCCTTTTCGTCGAACCCCCTACAGGCCCCGGTGTGTGATGTTCCCCTCCCTGTGTCCATGTGTTCTCATTTTTTAACTCCCACTTATGAGTGAGAACATGCAGTGTTTGGTTTTCTGTTCCTGTATTAGTTTGCTGAGAATGATGGCTTCCAGTTTCATCCATGTGCCTGCAAAAGACATAATCTCATTCAATTTTATGGCTGCATAGTATTCCATGGTGTATATGTGCCACATTTTCTTTATCTAGTCTATCATTGATGGACATTTGGGTTGGGTCCAAGTCTTTGCTATTGTAAATAATGCTGCAATAAACATACATATACATGTGTCTTTATAGTAAAATGATTTATAATCCTTTGGGTGTACCCAGTAATGGATTGCTAGGTCAAATGGTATTTCTGATTCTAGATCCTTGAGGAATCGCCACACTGTCTTCCACAATGGTTGAACTAATTTACACTCCTACCAATAGTGTAAAAGCATTCCTATTTCTCCACAGCCTCGCCAGCATCTATTTATTGTTTCTTGACTTTTAATAATCACCATTCTGACTGACATGAGATGGTATTTCATTGTAGTTTTGATTTGCATGTCTCCAATGATCAGTGATGATAAACTTTTTATCATATGTTTGTCGGACTCGCAAATGTCTTCTTTGGAGAAGTGTCTGTTCATATCCTTTGTCCACTTTTTGATGGGTTTTGATGGGGTTGTGGGTTTTTTTTTTTTTTTTGTAAGTTTATTTAAGTTCCTTGTAGATTCTGGATATTAGACCTTCGTCAGATGGGTAGATTGCAAAAATTTTCTCCCGTTCTGTAGCTTACCCGTTCACTCTGATGCTAGTTGCTTTTGCTCTGCAGAAGCTCTTTAGTTTAATTAAATCCCATTTGTCAATTTTGGCTTTTGTTGCAATTGCTTTTGGTGTTTTAGTCATAAAATCTTTGCCCATGCCTATAGCCTGAATGGTATTGCCTAGGTTTTCTTCTAGGGTTTTTATGGTTTTGGGTTTTACATTTTAGTCTTCAATCCATCTTGAGTTAATTTTTGCATAAGGTGTAAGGAAGGGGTCCAGTTTCAGGTTTCTGCTTATGGCTGGCCAGTTTTCCCAGCACCATTTATTAAATAGGGAATCCTTTCCCCATTGCTTATTTTTGTCAGGTTTGTCAAAGATCAGATGGTTGTAGATGTGTGGTGTTATTTCTGAGGGCTCTGTTCTGTTCCATTGGTCTATATATGTGTTTTGGTACCAGTACCATGCTGTTTTGGTTACTGTAGCCTTGTAGTATAGTTTGAAGTGCAGTAGTGTGATGTCTTCAGCTCTGTGTGAAAATCCTCAATAAAATGCTGGCAAACTGAATCCAGCAGTACATCAAAAAGCTTATCCACCACAATCAAGTTGGTTTCATCCCTGAGATGCAAGTCTGGTTCAACACATGCAAATCAATAAATGTAATCCATCACATAAACATAGCCAATGACAAATAAACACATGATTATCTCAATAGATGCAGAAATTTAACATCCCTTCACATGAAAATCTCAACTAGGCATTATGGAACATATCTCAAAATAATAAGAATTATTTATGCAAACCCACAGCCATTATACTGAATAGGCAAAAGCTGGAAGTATTCCCTTTGAAAATCAGCACAAGACAAGGATGCCCTCTCTCACCAATGCTATTGAATATAGTATTAGAAGTTCTGGCCAAGGTAATTGGGCAAGAGAAAGAAATAAACGGTACCCAAATAAGAAGAGACGAAGTCAAATTGTCTCTGTTTGCAGATTACATGATTCTATATTTAGAAAGCCCCATCATCTCAGCCCAAAAACTACTTAAGTTGATAAGCAATTCAGCAAAGTCTCAGGATACAAAATCAATGTGCAAAAATTACAAGCATTCCTAGACACCAACAATAGACAAGCAGAGAGCCAAATCATTAATGAACTCCCATTCACAATTGCTGAAAAGATAATAAAATACCTAGGAATACAGCTTACAAGCAATGTGAAGGACCTCTTCAAGGAGAACTACAAACCACTGCTTAAGGAAATAAGAGAGGACACAAACAAATGGAAAAACATTCCATGCTCATTGATAGGAAGAATCAATATCGTGAAAATGGCCGTACTGCTCAAAGTAATTCAGTGCCATTCCCATTAAGCTGTCATGGACTTTCTTCACAGAATTAGAAAACAATTCTTTAAATTTCATATGGAACCAAAATAGAGCCCGTATAGTGAAGACAATCCTAAGCAAGACCATAAAAATCTTAAGTATAAAACTTGACAGACTATTACAAGAAAAAAATTAAAAAGCAACTTTTAATGCACTAATTGAGGCATTATCAAGTCAAATCTATTGACATGTTAGAGAGGAAAATATATAATAATGAAGTAGAATTTAATCTACAAGAATAATAAATTATTTAATATATGAAAATCACTTAAACCAAAATAATTTCATAGATTAATGAAAAAATGAGATTGACATAAGATATAGAGAGGCAGAATTGATAGATACAGAAAAAATTACAACAATCAACATTCATTTATATGCTTTTTAAAATTCAATAGACTAAGCAGGAAACTTTCTTAAAGAGATAAATAATATTTACATCAAAACTGAGATGTATTATGATCGATAATGAAACATTCACTCCCATCTCCTCTTAAGATCAAGAAGAAAATTATGATGCTCAGTATTGATACTTCTATTCAATATTGTGCCATAGGTACTAGTCAGTGCAATAGAGCATGTATCAATAAATGTAAAGTATAAGAATTGGAAAGAAAGAAATTAAACATACAACATTAACATATGATCTAAAGGCTTCAAAAGAACATACATATTACACAATATAAATTGATAAAGTCACTTCATAAGGTATTCATATAAAAATAATTATTTATGCTGTGCCAAGATAAGAGAAAATTAAATTTAAATTAATATTCACACTAGCAAGAAAAACATCAAATTTATTATAATAAATCTAATTGAAAAATGATAAAGGTCCTCCATACTGAAAATTATAGAACATTTTTGAGAGAAATAAAACAAGACCTAAATAAATGAAGGAATATTCTAGTATCATAAATTAGAAAGCTCAATATTCTACAGTTGTCAGTTGTCCACAAATAGATCCCAGTACCTATTGCCCCTCAGGTTTTGTGTGTGTATGTATGTATATATATGTGTGTGTACATATGTATATATGTGTGTGTGTATATATATATATATAAATATGCGTGTGCATGTATGTATGTAATGACATTGAAAGCTGATTCTAAAATTCCTATGAAAATGAAAATCAATTTTTGTCTGGGCTAAATAAGGTAATCTTAAAGAAAAATAATTATAGCTAAAGATTAGTACCATAAGTTAGTAAGACCTATTATGAGTTAAGATAATTAAGACAGAAAGGCAATGGTGTAAGAATAGAAAACATGAGCAGTAGAATAGAATAGAAAGCCTAGTAGTAGTCTTCCACATAAAAGGTAACTTGTTTTATGACAAATGGAACACAGCAAGAATGGAGAGTCTTTTCAATAAATGGTGCCATGTCCTCTGGAATATGAGACCTAGCCAATCACATGCACAAAAAATCAACATCAGATGGATTGTTAATATAATTATGAAAGATAAAACAAAAGCCTAAGAAAATATTATCACAAAACATCTGCAAGATTTTGGAATAGACAAAGATTGAAGAAACAAGACGCACAGTACCTAAGTGTGTGTTTGTGTCTGTGTGTGTGTGTGGCACTGTGTTAAAATTATGAACATCTGGTCATCAAAAGATAACATTAGGAAAGTACATAGGCAACCCTAAGACTGGAAAAGGTATGTGAAATATTTTCATATTTAACAAAAGACTTGATTTAGAATTATATAAAATTCTTACAAAAATTATTAGGAAGACATAAAAATTTGACAATTTTGGAATGATTACATTATAAAAAGAGAATATCAAAATTGCCAGTAAACATGGGTAAATACTCAGCATCTTTAGTCATCAAGAGAATGCAAATGAAAACGACAATACAATAACATTACACACTCACCAGAATGGCTAAAATGAAAATGATGAAAAATGCCATGTGTTGAAGAAGATGTTGAATAACTGTTTTTTTCATACTTGGATATTTGTAGGGAGTGTAAATTGTTACAATCGCTTTAGAATTCTGTTAGGCAATGGTGCATTTTCTATGACCCAATAGTATTACTCCTAGGTATATACTCAATAGAAATATATAAATATGTTCATCGAAAAGCATACATTATAATGGTCATATCAACACTACTCATAACAACTTCCAACTGAAAACTATAGAAATGTAAACCAGTAGTAGAATGGATAAATAAGGCATCCTATATTACCAGAACTGAATCCTATTCAGCAATGAGAATGAACAATCCACAACTATATACAGCCATATGGATGAATATCATCAACATAATTTCTAGCAGAAGAAGCCAGACTCAAATGAGAATATACTGGTTGTTCCTAATTTATCTGAGTATAAAAATGTAATTGATGCATTTAGAAATGAAGATATATATACATTTAGAAATAAGGAAACTTTTAGAGTGCAAGTGGTAATTGAAAGGAAGTAGCACAAGGATGGTTTTTCAGATGCTGGTAATATCCTGTTTCTTACTCTGGATACTCGTTACATGGTGTTTGGAGTCAGCCCTCTATGGGCCTGTTGTACCGTGCACATCTTGCAGACCATTTTAAAATTGCAAGACCTCATCACTCTTTCACCTGGGATGATTTTCTTAGGATTGTTTATGCAACTGGCAATTCTGAGAGGTGATATCATATCTCTCTCTACACAACAAACATTGCTTACTGCTTTCGATGAAAGTGACAGAAATTAAGCTCATATTTCTCTTATTATGAGGCAATTAAGTGCCCATGCAGATTGCAACTTTGATAATACTCTGGTTGTTATTTATTCTGTGAGTAATACAGTTTTTTTGCCTCTGACACAGAAACTTGGGTCTTCTGTCGGCATCCATTGACTATATCAGATGAATTTATTGACTTATAAGTAGGGTAAAGTCAATCCCTTTACACTTTTTATGAGACAGATGGGATACTGATAGAGATATGACTTTCTGGAATAGAGCCAATTAATGAGATTTAAGGGAAGTCCTTGAGTTTCATATATTGAACAAATTACATAGTCTTTTGTCCAACAAATAGCTCTCTACTATCCAGCTTTTTAATAAACGGGACAACTAGCAGGTAGTAGGCTCAAAAACACCTTTCCTGTAGGCATGTGGACCTCCTCGCCAATTCAGCTGTCAGCCCCATTGTGACAATTAGCAATAAATTTCTTCAGGGATTGAAGGAAGGTTCTACCAACTTCAGACAATATGACAATATTTACAGAGAAATAAACTTACAGTGAGCATGAACTGCACGAAATTCATGACTTCTATAACCACATAATTACAGCACTGGCTAGTTCACCTGAGTCATGCAGGTTTGAGGCATATGATGGTCAACAGTAAGAAATGACAGCAAGTGGCAAGTGGAAAGCCCTACTGCTCATTTCCTCTTATCGTTTTTTATTTTTTCTTTTTGCCAACCTTTGATATATTTTGAGATGACAATAAAACCTCTCTAAGTTTTCAGCAGTGAGTCCTGGCTGCTATAAGGGAGCTATGGTTTATACAAGGACAGTTTTATAAGACTGAAAACCTATTGTGGGAAACAATATATGAATCATTGACTGGTATTTAGGCTCTTACTGTCCCAGGCTTTTTCTCTAATGCTGCTGAAAATGACCTCTCTGTATGCGTGTGTGTATGTGTGTGTCCAGATCCTAGGCCGCTTCTTTACCCTGACTTTATTTACTCTAAAGGAAACTATGTACATAGTCTCCTTGTCTCCAGTAGGGACAAAGTCATACTTGAGATGGGTATTGTGGCAACTTTCCAGGGAAGAGGATGGAAGACACACATTTTCATGATTCTACTGGAATTAAGTGCCCAAATTACTATTTTAGCTGGTTCCATAGAAGAAAGGGGCACTACAAATTTTTAAATAGGCTTTGGAAGGCATCCATAGTGAGGAAAAAATGTTAAATTGACTATTGCTTAAGCCCCCATAGTTGATATGCTACATATTCACACTTTCTTAGTCCATATATGTCAGAGAGGATTCTCCCACTCAAGAAGAATTGTGTGCAGAGATAGAGACATGTAATTCACTCTACAACCTGCCCTCCTATCCTCTCCCAGGTAGCCTAGGAGAAATGATATATGATCACAGGAGGACAAAGACAATATTTTAGCTTGAAAATTGGCTGCAGTCATGGTACTGGATAAGCTATTTCCCAGAGCAATGGTTTCACCTGTCTGAGCTAAATACCAAGTATACTTCTTTTGAAAAAGCTGAATTCATGTCACATGCAGGCCTGTGAGTCTCCAGCTTAATGTTCATATCTTGTGATGGATCACCTTAGACTTAATGAAAAACAAGGTGAGATGGGCCCACCAGCCTTGCTTATCAAGAGAAACAAAAATGGTATTTTTAGGAGTTCAGCTGACACGGCCTTAGCAGCATCTCAGATTTATACTAAAAAGTAAAAGCTACCCCTTTGGAGGGAAATTTGTCTCTCACTTCACTGCCTTAAGTAAAACTGCTGGCTTAATGAGGTTTTCCACTCACAGAGGTTTCCCTAAATGCTTGGACCTGGTTCACTGATTGCTTGCCCATGCTGAAATATAATAGTGTGCATTGTACTGCTTTGGAAAACCATCTGTCCAAAATCGGCACAAGCTAGATACAACCAAAAGCCAATATGGTCTATCTGTTCAGTTGGCAGAGCTGAAGAAAGTACCCATAACCAAGCCAATATGTTCTATCTGTTCAGTTGGCAGAGCTCAAGAGAGTACCCATAACCAAGCCAATACTTACCTCGATGAACTTAGGGACATTTTTATTATCTCAGGCTGTTACCTACACTGCAGCCATCTGTACTGCCACTTGGGAGACTAGATAATGGAAGATTAAAGAAACTTCTCTTTGGAGCTGTAAACTGTCAGGGAATAAAATCTTTATTGCCAACCAGAAAGTCTGATTTACTAATGCAGATGCCTATGGTAAGGATCTGTTCTCTGATGCAACCAAATGGAACCAAGTCACCCCTCCCAACTAAAGAAATTTCTAGTGTGAAAATTCTAAACAACTTGCGACAATAACACGTTTATCCTGAGGGCACCATGTGTGTCAACATGATTAAACTTTCTATGTGGAAGCCTGGCAGGAAGGTTTCTGCTACTGAAACTGTAATGCATTGTGCATTGTTGAAGTCAAAGAGAATTTCATGTTTTTAAGAAATGCTAATTCTATTCTATCGGTAGCCCTCAGACAACTGAAGAAACTCTCCAGTAGGAGGTGACTCCAAGTTGCTTGATAAAGTTCACTAGAGTGATGACTGGCTTACGATTTATGTACAACCTGTAGGAGTTTATTGCTAGGTTATGGATTGTTCAATTACAAAATGTAATGAGATTATTTTCCCTGATGTTAGCTTATAGTATCAATAACACCACCTTGTGCCTGGAAGATGATCAGGTCAGGTTTAAGTCACTGGACATAGTGGATTTGGTTGATAGAATTGCCCAATACTTTCCCCTTGCAGATGTAGGCAAAATCAGTGCAATAAGTGATGAATCCTGAAATAGTTGGATTATTGCTTTGGGACAAATGGAAATTCAAAATAGAGATTTAAGAAGAAAGCCTCCTAGTTTTCTAAGGTAGACTCAATGATTTATGGGATTTTTTTCCCATCTGGATAGGCATGAAATATTGAAGGTATGGTTAAGAAAAACACTATATCTTAGCCTTATCTTCCTGCTTGGAGTCTCGTTGATAAGAACACTAGCTAAATCTTATATAAAACAAATTGAAAGGATTTAGTTCCAGCCTCTATGTGTCACATTATTTAAAGTAGTTGACAGAATAGCATAGTGATATGAAAATGTTCCAAAGGTCAATAAATTGTATGACCTAAGATGTACTGTTGAGAGGAAGTCCACCATGAAATTATTGTGCTCATATAGATCTTGCTATGTAAATGGGATTATTGGATCCGGAACCTTGATCATTATTTTTTTTTTCTGGCCTGTTTATGTATTATGGGATGTGGAGAGGGACAGAAATGCCTCTCTCTGCAAAGAGAGTGGGCTTGTTTCCTGGCTGTGATTACATCAATGTGTTTCTTATGCTCAGAGTTCCTCTCCTGTGGAATAATCCACCACACAAGCCAGCATCAGTTGGCCCTAGGCATTGCCCTGTGGGATTTAGAGTTGAAACCAGAACAACTATAGTGATATGATTTCTTTGTTTCTGATCCAGGAATCTGGCATTTTCTGTCAACACCCATATAAATGTGGCTGACTCACATATTAGCATTTAAAAAGAGCAAAGTCAATTCCCTGGCACATAAGTGTTTTTTCAGTGCAGTGTTTTAAATATGTTTTAAGGTTTTCAGCCTCCCAGAAAAGTAGCAGAGGAAAGCAGTAGGAGATTTGAGATCTTATGACTGATTCTATGTCAGGAATTCACCTTCTATCTGTATTAAATTCTCAGGGAATATTTTATTTTTACAAAGTGAAGCCTGAATTTTCCATTAAGCTAGTTGCTTTTATCAAATTTATTAATTTTTCAAGAGAGAAAAAAATGTAAAACAAAAAGTAGTTTGTAATAATATTTTATTGCCCATGAACTATTTCTTGTCAAAAAAACAAGGGTACATAAACAAACTCTGTATATACATGTGCACAAGGAATCAGAAATTGCATATCAGCTAATTTCACTTAACAATCTTGAAAATATTTTCTTTTCAACGGATATTTGCTCTACTTTGTTTATTATAACAGCTTCCAGGAAGATGATATGTATTAATTTGTTACCTCCTAATTTCTGGGATTTACTATTACAAAATGAATAAAAATATATCGGAAAATTATTATTTCAGGCTTAATATTTCACATAAAATCTTTTATTGAAAATTGAGCAAGTAGTTAAATTTAAACTAGTATTACAAATCTTGGGAGTGGAATATAATATATTAATTTATTAGTGCTCTAAAATCAGTTTTGAAGGTCTCTCCTTCAAAGTAGAGATAAATTATTTTAATCTGTTCAAAATTCTTACTATACCTTAATATGAAGTTTTATAGCACTGAGTTTTATTTCTACTTGAACATATTCTCTTTTATATATTTTATATATTATTGATTTATTTTTTCTTTTATATCATTTATTCATAACTATTAATGAAATATTTAGAATGTCAGAACATATCAGATTACATCTGACTCAGATATTTGTTAGTTTTAATATAACTCACTATAGTACTTAACAATGTTCAAAATAGAGTTGAAAAAATATGCAAGACAGAAGTGAACAAATGGAAAATGGCATTAATAAACAATTTCATTTGCAACAGATTAAAAATATTTAGGAATAAATGTAACAAAAGCAGTACAATTTATATTCTGAAAACTACAAAAATGTCACTGAAATAATTAGAGATCTAAATAAATGGAAGGCATCCATGTTAATGTAACTTAAGACTTAATACTGTTAATATGGCAGTATTCCCCAAATTAATCTACAAATTCAATGGAATTCTTATCAAAATCTCAGCAGGCTTGTTTGTAAAGATTGGCAGTTCTACATTTAATTTAGGAACTCAAAGTACTCAAAATAACCTAAAAAATCATGAAAAAGAACAAAGATGGAGGAACTACTCTTTCTGCTTTCAAAAATTGTAACAAAGTAACAGTAAGCCAGGTAGTATGGCAGCAGCATATGATAGACTTGCAAATCAATAGAGTAGAGTTGAGAGTCCAGAGAAAACAAACAAACATGGTTAATTGATTTTGACAAGAGTGCGAAGGCATTCAACAGGGAAAGAACAGTATTTTCAATCAATGGTGCTGAGTCCATTGGATATTCACACACACAGAAGGAAGTTGTACTCATACTTCATATCACATACAAAAATTAACTCAAAATAGATCAGATATAGAAATGTAAGAAGAAAAGGTACAAATTTGTAATAAGAAAACATTGGCACACATATTTCTAACCATCAAACTGGCAGTGGTTACTTAGATATGACATCAAAATACAAGTAATAAATGAAAAAATACATACGTTGGACTTAATCCAAAATACAACTTCTGTGCCTGAAGGGACAATCTTAAGAAACTGAAAAGAAAACCCACAAGATAGAAGAAAATATTTGCAAATCATAAATCTGATGAGACTCATAGCAAGAATATTTAAGAACTCTTACATGTCATAAAGAGACAACACACACTCACGTGCACATTCAAATGTTAAGAAGGAAGCAACAGACACTGGAGTCTAGTTGAGGGTGGAGGGTTGGAGGAGGGTGAGGATGGAGAAACTACCTATCGAGTACTATGCTTATTACCTGGGTGATGAAATAATTTGTACACCATACCCCTGCAACATGCAATTTACCTATATAGCAAACCTGTACATGTACCCTTGAACCTAAAATAAAAGTTTTAAAGAAAAGAGAAAAAAGAAAACATTGTTGGTATAATTAGAAACTAATTTAACGTGAACTCTGTATTTATATGATACCATTGTACCAAAGTTTGACTTCTTGAATTCGATCACTGTATCAGGACTACATAAAAGAACATCTGTTTTTTAGGACATGCATGCTAATGTTTAGAAGAGAGGTCCAAGATGTTTGCAACCTACTCTCAAATTGTTGAGTAAAAGTAAAACACCATGGCTGTGTAGAGAGTGGTGAAGTGAATGTGGCAAAATGTTAACACTTGGTGAAACTAGATAAAGGGTATGTGGAAGTTCGCTGAATAATTCCTGCAAGTATTATTGAAGTTTAATTTTTTTTCAAAATACAAATTTAAAAACAGAGAGCTCTAATCGAAAAGAAGGGAGCCACATTATGTACAGAGACAGAAAGCTACTGTGGGACTCCTGAATTTGCAAAGGCTTAGCTAAGCCTGACTAGCTAATTGCTAGATCGTCTTTCTTTGCCCATATATGGAACTAGAGTATGTTTGGATTTTTGGCCCTTAGTACACCTCTGACTTTAGGAATTACAGTATATCTTATGTAAACTCAAAAAACAAATCAACTCTTCTCCATTTTAACTTTGCTGATCAAGTATATTCTCAAAAGTCCAACTTCCTCATCTTTCCACTAACAAAGCTAACCAACAAATATTTTTATAAATGAGATGTATTATAGTCAGTTCAGACAATGACAAATGTGCCTTGATATGAAGATTACTGAGAAACAAAATATTAAGCTATATGCTTAGTTTTCTGTATTTTATAACTTTAAAGAAAGTATCTGATTATCATTTATTTCATCAACAAATAGCAATATCTAAAATGCACTTTTATAATTCCAGTGTTTATTTGGTAATGTTCTGCTTGCTTGAATTTTATGTTAAAAACCATGAAAACTTCAATTAGAATTGACAAACGTTCTGAGGGTTAATTTTCACTTTAGAAATATGAAAGCAAGACCTTTTTGATGTAATTACTAATTAAATGGCCAGAGAGCATTTGAAAAACAGACCAAAAAAACCTTTTTAATCCTACCATGAAAATATATAACCTCTGTAAGAATTTTGGTGTGTAACCTTCTGGACTTTTTCCTATGTTATGTGAGCTGTTTAGTAAACTACTTTTTAAACTTAAAAAGGAATAAAAAATAAAGCACTGGCAACTCCAAATTGCTAGTAAGGATGTGAAGTAACAGGAATTCTCATTCATTGCTGGTGGGAATGAAAATAGTTGCAACCACTGTATACAACAGTTTGGTAGTTTTTAAAAGCTAAACATAGTGTTTCTGTATAATCCGGCAATTGCAGTTGAAATCATATGTCCACAAAAAAAACCAAAAACAAAAACAAAAACCTATGCACAAATGTTTACAACATATTCACAGTTTCCAAAAATTGAAAACAATCAAGATGTTCCTCAATAGGTGAAAGGATAAACAAACTGTGGTAATCCATAAAATGAAATTGGATGATTTATAAAGACATGAGAAGATATGGAATAATCTTAAATGCCTATTGCTAAGTGAAAGGAATCAGCCTGAAAAGCCTAAATTCTGTATTATCCCATCTATCTGACATTCTGGAAAGGAAAAAAGGTCAGTGGTGGCCAGGGGTTCAGAGGGAGAAAGGGCAGGATGCAAAGACAGACCACAGCAAATTTTTAGGGCAATGAAACTCTTCTGTATGATACTATAATACTGGATGTGTGAAGTTATGCATCTTTCAAAATGCATAAAACTGTAAAATACAGGGAGTGAGCCCTAATGTAAACCATGGAGTGCATGAATATCAGTTTCTCATGCTTATGCATTGTTGGTGAGAGTGTAAACTAGTTCAGACATTGTGGAAAGCAGTTTGGCAATTTCTTAAAGAACTTAAAACAGAATTGCCATTTGACCCAGCAATCTCATTGTTGGGTATATATCAAAGGAATATCAATTGTACCATAAAGACACAGGCACATGTATGTTTATCACAGCACTATTCACAGTAGCAAAGACATGGAATCAACCTAAATACCCATCAATGGCAGACTGGATAAGGAAAATGTTGTACATACACACCATGGAATATTATGCAGCCACAAAAATGGATGAGATAATTTCCTTTGCGGCAACATGAATGGAGCTAGAGGCCATTATCCTAAGCAAACTAATGCAGGAACAGAAGACCAAATACCACATGTTCTCACATATAAGTGGAAGTTAAACACAGAACACATATGGACACAAAGAAGGGAATAACAGACACCTGGACCTACCTGAGAAAGAAGAGTGGAAGGAATATGAGGATTGAAACTGCCAATTGGGCACTATGTTTATTACCTGGGTAATAAAATAATTTGTACACCAAACCCCTGTGACACACAATTTATATATATGGAAGTCTGCACATGTACCCATGAATGTAGATTAAAAAAAAAAATACTGGTTCCTCAATCGTAAGAAATGGATGACATTGATGCAAGATATTAATGGCGAAACCATGTGCAGGGGTGGAGCAAACATATATAAGCTCTCTGTACTTCCCCTTAACTTTTCTGTACACCTAGAACTCTTCTTAAAAAAATAGTGTATTATTTTCTAAATGGGTAAAAGTTCTTGTTTTATAATTATTTATTTTAAAATATTTAATTGAGAAATGAGGACTAAATATATTCAATGTGTACAACATGATGATTAGGTATAAGTACACATTGTGTAATAATTACAATTAACACATCCATCACCACCTATGCTGTGCATGGGATTCCTAGAACTTTTCATTGTCTCACTGAAAGTTTGTGCCGTTTGAGCAACATCTCCCCATTTTCTTTTGCCTCCAGACCCTTGAAACTACCATTCTACTCTCTACTTCTATGAGTTTGACTTTTTTTAGATTCCACATATAAATGAGGTTAGACAGTATTTGTCTTTTTATGTCTTGCTTATTTCACCTAGCATAATATCCTCTATAGGCAGAAGTTCTGATTAGAAGATATACAGATGGCTAATAAGCATGCATAAAGATGTTCAACATCATTAGTCAGGAGGAAAAGGCAAATCAAATTTGCAATCATACTATTAGGTAACCCATTAGAATGGCTAGAATTAAAAAGCCAGGCAGGGTGCAGTGGCTCATGTCTGTAATCCTAGCACTTCAATCCCAAGATGGAAGGATTTCCTGAGCCCAGGAGTTCAAGACCAGCCTGGGCAACATGGTGAGGCCCTGTCTCTACAGAAATTTTTTTAAAAAAGTATTTGGTTTTGGTGGCACACACCTGCAGTCCTAGCTATAAGAGAAACTGAGGCAGGAGGGTTTCTGGAGCCCAGGAGGAGGCTGAAGTGAGCCGTGTTTGCACCATGGCACTCCAGCCTGGGTAACAGAGCAAGACCCTGACTCAAAAAAGAAAAAAAAAGTAAGATAATAACTGTTAGAGAGGTGTGGAGTCAGAGAGTGAGAACACTCATATGCTGCTGACGGAGAAGTAAAATGTTACAACTGCTTTCTAAAACAGTCTGGTAGTTCCTTAAACAATCACACATAAAGTTACCATATGTCTCAGCAATTCCACTTCTAGATATATTCCCTAGTAAAATGAAAACATATCTTTATACAAAAAGTTGCACACAAATATTTATAACGTCATTGTACATAAAAGCCATATGGTGGAAACAAACCAAATGTACATCAACTGACAAATGGATAAACAAAATGTGTTATATCCATATATTGAAATATTAGTTGGCCATAAAAAGGATTGAAGTACTGATACATAGTGCAATATGATTTAACTATGAAAATATTAGGCTATATGAAAGACAGTCATAAAGACCACATATTATATGAGTACATTAAAAGAAAAATTCACAGAGACAAAGTATTTAGTTGTGATTTCTTAGGAGGTATTGAGGAGATAATAGCTAAAGGTAAAAGGGGTATTTATTTTTGGAGGGTGATGGATATTTCAAAATTGATTGTGTTTGTGGTTGCATAATGCATTGAGTGCTACATTTTAAATGGGTGAATTGTGTTGCATATCAATTATAGCTTAAAGCTGTTACAAAAATATGCAGGATAACAATATGTTACATATGTTAACTTAGTATAATAACCCAATGTAGTAACATAGGCTTTGTCAATAGCACAGGCTAGACTATGGTCTGTAATCATAACTCAGTCTACCTGCTCACTAACTCTAATCTTTCTCTGTTTCTTATTTGAAAAGTAGATATGATATGAATTATTTTCTCAAGGGGAGTGTGTGTGTGTTTGTGTGTGTGTGTGTTTGTGTGTGTGTGTATGTGTGTGTGTGTGAGAGAGAAGTAATCCATGCAAGGACTTAAGAATATGTCTGGCACGTAATAAATTACAAAAATATTTGCTTTGATGATGTCATTATTAATTCAACAGAGGAGTTCTGAGTTTTAGAAACTAAGCAACATGTTATGGGACTTCTTTTGAGGGAGAAGGAAGTAATATTAGTAAATATCAAGCAAATGTTTACATTATAAAAGAATAACAAATTATGTTGAGCAGGGGATTTGAAAAACACTGAAGTTTGGATTAAACTTAAAAAAAAAAAAAACCAATTTTACTGTCTCTGTATCTGATCTTTGTTGCTAAGATGTCCAAAAAAGAAAGGTATTCCTCCTGAGTTCTGCTAATTATTTCTGAGAACTAATAATCTTTCTAATGTAGCTTACTAGCTTGAATCTGTTTGAACTTGTCATATTAGTGATCCGTTTTAAGATCACTCCTTTAAATCTGCTCTTGTTTGTCACGAGATACAGAAATACATATAAATAGATATAGCTATAGATATAGATAGATATCATATTGATACTACAAAAAAACAAAGGGTGTAAACGTTGATAATAATAAACCTACTAAAGAAACTGAAAGATATGCAAGTTGATCTCCTGTGTCTGGATCTAGTGGTATCTTAGTAATTATCTCCTTAATTTACCATGCTGTCACCAGATAACAATGAAATCTCAACCTCTTTTTATATCCTATCCAACTTGACATCTCTGAATGCATTTTATTGCTTAGAAAAAAATATATCATATGTAGTAATGTTTCTGAATTGCCAAATTATGATTAAACCATAAAAGCTACATTCAGGCAGTTACAAAGGTCAGACACAAACCTCAAAAGCAGGGCTATTATGAGTGAAGCAGAGATTTTATTCCTCAGTTACTCTTTTATGCCTCTCTGTTGCATCCCATGATAAACAAACAACAAATCAATATTTGAAGGTCTCTGCCTATAAACAAACCAAAAAACCCTTCATTAAAATTATGCTGGTTAACTCTTCCTACTCACAAAAAACGATATGATTTAATATATGCATATACACACATACACATATTTCAGAAAAAGAATAAGCATTTGGTTTTGGTTTGTCTTTCTTACAAATATGTAAATAATTAGAAATTATTCTGTCAATTACAAAAGTACAATAGTTAAAATGGTAATTAATTTAAAAATATTTTTTACATCTCAATAAGAAAAATTCGAGGAGAAGCATACAGATTTCTAAAACACTAGTCCTTATTTGATATTGGAGCTTGGTAGGAGGGAATTGTAAAAACCTGTGACAACCTGATTTAAACTGGATTTATTTATTTAAGAAAATGATCACATGCATGGACCTCAAACTGTGACATGGTGCAATGTCTGCCACCCCAGCAGTTTATCAAGTCTATTCCTGACTCTTTGTTTACTGTCTTACCCTTCCATGTGTTTCCCTAGTAAAGCTGCCTTCTTGTTTGGTAAACAAAGCAGTGAAGACAGAGAAATGGACTTTCTCAAATACTGGAGGCCTATTCTTGTAGGCCTTATAACATCAAATACTGACGTTTTCTCAAATACTGGAGGACTCCAGTATTTCTCAAATATTGGAGAAATCCTTTCTCAAATACTGGAGGCCTGCTCGTAGCAGGTTAAGCTGCTATTATCTTATCAGGTATTAAAATGCCTTAACTTTTAAATCTCATTATATGCATCAGTGTTTTTGTGAGTTTGTGTTTTAAATAATCTGTGGATGAAAAATATGATATGTTCAAAATGTTTGCAACACATAAATAGCTTAAGATAGTATTTTTAAGAGGTAGTACCTTATGAAGAAAACAGATAGGTACATAAAATCCAAACTTGTTTGAATCATTCTGATCATTTATTACCTAAATAAAGGAAGAGTTTCATCTCTAAGTTGCCACTCCTTTTCTCTAGAATAAATGCCATTTACCTTCTGTTTTTCATATTTGTGAAGGATAGAGATAGAACAACTGCAGACATTGGATCACAAATTTCTAAATCCTGTTTTGTTGCCAAGATTTTTTTTACCGTCCTTTTACAAAGACTGCAAGGTAGACATAAGCATAGAGGAGACTTTCTTATTATTTAATTTTCATTATTTTTCCCCATTTCTTTAGTTTTTTTTTAAATGCGCTACTCCAATGGTAAAGAAAATCCTATTCAAGGAAATTCTTTCTAAGTCATAGGCCTCTGGGTGGGGCAACTGCTGGGTGAAGGTAACTCCAGGCTGTTCTCCTGCAAGCAGCAGGACAAGAAAGAAAGAAATTCCTCAGACACCAAACTCTAATGAGGAATAAAAAGAAGCTGTGCCTATATTATGGCCTAAGAAATACCCTTACTATTTGGCCACCTTATTTGTCTATATATTTCTATATGAAATCAATAGAAATGAGTACTTGAGGTCAACCTAGAATTGTCCCTAAAGGCCAAGTCAGTTTGTTTTCTCTCATTAATAATTATAAGCTGTTAATAATTAATAGGAGTTAACTGCTCTCTCTGAGGGCTATTATACCTCTCAGAAATAAAGAACTACAGAGTTTCAGAAACATCTATCCTGGCCTTTGAATCAATTTGAGAATTATGTTACCAACACTTTGGCCCACTAAAATTTATATGAATCTGTTTCCTCTGAAGAATCTTAAATGGGACACAACAGAATGTTAATCAACCTCACCTCAAGACTTCACATTCCATTAGAAAAGTCAGTTGATGAGTTATTCCTGATTTGAATCTTACATTGCTATAATGTCCTAACAAACTCAAAGTTATATAATACCACCACTTAGATTCCATGGAATTTAATAATATGAAACCTCACTATTAGGTCAACTATTTTATATGGTAAAAATAATACTCCAGAAAATAAATTTCTCAGTGTAATTTACATGCATTTCCTCAATTATTTTGCTATCTAGCAGCAATGGCAAAAA